>NW_019805494.1:0-103072 GCF_000001405.40 Homo sapiens | reverse complement strand
GAATTCCAGCCCTCATCTTCAACAGAACCTTTGATTTAATGATGACATATGGACAAAAATACCTTTATGAAAAGTCCAGAATCCAGTTAAGAAGTTGTGGTAACCCAGATGAGCACAAAACAAAGAACAGCTGCATTGAAACAGGTAAGAAGAGAAATTTCACTTTACCTGAGTCAGCCCTCCTCCAAGCCAGCAAAGCTCTGTGCTGAGAGATCACCTTGGCTCATGACTTCTTTAGTGGGTAAAAGAGAGTGAAACCTTTGTTCAACATCCCAGCCTTTTGTGATCCTGCACAAAGGACTTGTTTCTGTCTTTACTGAAATGCTGCAAGCATAGTTTGAATGTTTAGAGGCAGCCAAGGACAAAGAAAAGGGATAGATGGCTTACTGTAGGCAGCAGGGCTCTGCAAGATTGGAGGAAGGTGCATAACCCTGAGATCCCTCTCCAAGGAGAGAGGAAGAATAGTAGAATATGCATTAAATGTCTCAACCTTTCAGTGCACTGCCCTAGGGAAAAGGGGCAGATGGCTTAGTGCAGTCAACATGGCTCTGCAAGTTTGAGAGAAGGTGTATAACCTTCAGCTTTCTTTCCCAGGAGAGATGGAGAGATGTAGGATGTGAACATTCATAGAAAATATTTGAGAGGCTCTCAAAATCTCTAGCCAGGCTGATTAGTGAAAGTCTTTCCCTTTGAAGCCATTCCATAAAGACTAGGAGAGGTGTCTATTTCTTCAAATGTGTCAACACCAATACAAAGTGATAAGGAACATGAAGCATGAGGGAACTATGACATAACCAAGGGAACAAAATAAATATCCAGTTACAAACCCTAAAGAAATAGAAATCTGTAAATATCTGACAGAGAACTCAAAACAGTAGTCTTAAGGAAGCTAGAGAGTTACAAGACAACATATCCAGACAACTGAATGAAATCAGGAAAATCATAAATGAGCACAATGAGAATATCAACAAAGAGATAAAAACCAAAAAAAGAAAACAAACATTAATTCTGAAGCTGAAGAATATAATAATTAAACTAAAAATCCAATAGAAGGTTTTAACAGACTTGATGAAGCAGAAGGAAGAAACAGCAAACACAAAGAAAGGTAATTTAAAATTATATAGACAAATAAAGAGAAGAAAGAATTAAGACAGCCCAAGGGGGTTGGGTGAGGTGGCTCAAGCCTGTAATCCCAGCACTTTGGGAGACTGAGGTGGACAGATTGCTTGAGCTCAGGAATTTGAGACCAGCCTGGGCAACAGAATGAGACCCTGTCTCTACAAAAAACACAAAAATTAGCTGGGCATGGTGGTTTGTGCCTGTGGTCCCAGCTACTTGGGAGGCTGAAGTAGAAGCATGGCTTGAGCCTGGGAGGCAGAGATTGTAGTGAAATGAGATCATACCACTGCACTGGGTGACAGAGTTAGAACCTAGCTCAAAGAAAAAAAAAAAAAATGAGAGAGCCCAAGGGACTTCTGAGATACCATCAAGTAGAAGAATCTAAATAAATATACACTGAGAAACATTATCTCAAGTTGTCAGAGGCCTCTTCTGAATTTTCTTGTGAAAAAAATTTAAAAATTGTCAAAAGTCAAAGATAGAGACAGAATTTTTAAAGCAGCAAGACAAAAGCAAATCATCATGTACAAGGAAACCACGACAGGATAATCAGTGGATTCATTAACAGGAATATTGGAGGCCAGAAATGAGTGGGATGATATAGTCAAAGTCCTGGAAGAAAAAAACACTGCCAACAAATAATGCTATATCTGGCAAAAGTGTCTTTCAAAAATGAAGAAGAATATTTTGCTCCAGATAGCTGACTATAAGCAGTTAGTGTGTTCCTCTTTTATGGAGAGAAAACTAAGTGGCAACTAAATTTTAGCTCTTTAAGTGAACCATCTAAGAGATCATGCTGGGATTCACCAAGGAAGCAATGGGATCCATGAACAACAGAGAGGAATGAAGCTAGGTGGCTGCCCAACTGGAACGGGGGTAGAGCTGGGGGAAGCTCCCTAATGCGGGAATGATTCCCCAGTGTATTCGCCCTTCTGCCATAAAACTTTACAATTCTGGGCATAGGAAAGCCACCCTGACTCCCCTGGGTTTCCAGACCAACACAGAGTGCTGTCTGGAGTCTGTGTAGAGGCACTGCTCAAGACCATATGTAGCCCTATGGGCTTTTGATCCCTGAGCAGCCCAGCACCAGCTGACATAGCCCCACCAATAAGGAAGGACAAGCTCTGTTGCATGCTCCTAGGATAGATGCTACAGTCATGGTACTGAATAGTAGACAGACTGTGTGACCCTCCTCACCACTGCTGCTCCTCATTAGGCAAGACCTGCTAGCTTGGGCTCCCAGTGCAGCCACCCCATCCCCACCTGAACACTGCAGTTGGTTGTGGCTCTGTGTTCCTGTGGGACCAACTTTCCCAGAGGTAGCTGACAAGCCCTTCATAATCACCTTTGCCAATGCAGCTGCCCCTGCTACACTCAGGCCAGGGAGGAAACAAGAAGATGGGGCATTTTTGTTCACCATCAGCCCTGATGTCACAGCCAAGAAACAGAGGAACAATGGGGAGACTGCGCACCCCACAACTCCCTACCCATTTATTGGGTTGAATGATGAGGTCCTGTCCTGAAACCATTCTAATAGAGAGTCACAAAACAGGCATTTTTTCATGGCTCTTAACCACATTGTGGTCTAGAAGTAGACTACAGTGTGCTCTGACCTAGAAGTCATGAGCTCCAGAACAGGGGTGTGATAGGGAAACAGATCACATTCTTGCCTATCTAAAAGAAGGAGCCTGTGCAGCCTCTACTCCCCCTAGAGAGACATCAGTGCATTTCACCAGGAATGCCTCCCAGCCGCTCTCATCAGAGTTGATGTCTGCACTCACTATTGGTGTCTTTGTGGGCAAGCCAGGGGCTCCAGTTCTGTTAAGCTCTGTCCCCCTACATCCTGGGAAGAAGAAGCTCATGGCATCAGGCTATCCACTGTCCAGCCCATCACCTGAAACAACAGAGAGCATCTCATAGTAAACAAAGATCAAGTACTTACACATCTGCCTGGGAAGCAGCTGGCTTTTACTTGTAAGCACTATCTACTGACTTGTAGGCCAAACTGCAAAATCTAATATAAAACCTGCTGACAGAAGTACACAGGGGTATACAAGCAAAGCTGCAAGACCTTACTCAACATATTCTACAGACACACATCCTAGGAAGGGGCAGGAGAAGGAAAAGAAAAAATATATGAAGAAAGAAAAAAAAATCCACCTGTAAGAAAATAATTAGAAAAATTAGAAGTGCTAGCCTCTCCAGATGAGAAGAAACCAGCATAATTCTGGCACCATGAAAAATTTGAAGGCTGTGATACAACTTGTATTAGTCTGCTGCTAATAAACACATACCCGAGACTGGGTAATTTATGATGGAAAGAGGTTTAATTGACTCACAGTTCAGCATGGCTGGGGAGGCCTCAGGAAACTTAGCAATCATGGTGGAAGTGTAAGCAAGCAAGCCCTTCTTCACATGGCAGCAGGAAGAGAAGTGCCAAGCAAAGGGAGAAAAGCCCCTTTTGAACCATCAGATCTCATGAGAACTCACTATCATGAGAACAGCAGCATGGGGGTAATTGCCCCCATTCAATTACCTCCCACTAGGTCCCTCTCACAACACGTGGGGATTATGGGAACTACAATTCAAGATGAGATTTGGGTGGGGACCCAGCCAAACCGTATCACCACTAAAGGATCACACTAGCACTCTAGCAATGTTCCTAACCAAAGTGGAAACCCAGAAATGTTAGATAAAGAATTCAAAGCATGGATTATAAGGAAGCTCAATGAGATCAAAATTAATATGAAGAAACTACTAAGGCAATTCGGGAAATGAAAGACAAGAAAGATAAACATCATAAAAAGTCAGCCAGAAATTCTGGAGTTGAAAACTCTCACTTAAGGAATTATTTTGAAAGCTTTCTCAATAGACTAGACCAAGCAGAAGAAAGAATTTTAGCGCTTGAAGACCAATCTTTTGAACTAAACCAGTCAGATAAAAAATAAATAATTTTAAAATATTAACAAAGTCTTTGAGAAATATAGGATTATGTAAGGCAACCAAACCTATGAATTATTGGCATTCCTGAGAGAGGAGAAAAAGTAAACAACCTGGATAACAGATTTGAGGGAATAATTCAAGAAAAATTTCCTCATCTTGCTAGAGAGGGAGACATCATATATAAGAAATCCAGATTGGGAGGCTGAGGTGGGCAGATCACGAGGTCAGGAGTTCAAGACCAGCCTTGCCAACATGGTGAGACCCCATCTCCACTAAAAATACAAAAAATTAGCCAGGCACGGAGGCACATGCCTGTAATCCCAGCTACTCGGGAGGCTGAGGCAGGAGAATAGCTTGAACCCAGGAGGCGGAGATTACAGTGAGCTGAGATTGCGCCATTGCACTCCAGCCTGGGTGACACAGCAAGACTCTGTCTCAAGCAAAAAAAAAATCGAGAGGATACCTGCAAGATACTATACAAGATGAACATCACCAAGGCATATAGTCACCAGACTATCCAAGGTCAATGCTAAAGAAAAAATATTAAAGGCAGCTAGAGAAGAGAGTCAGATCACTTACGAGGGGAACCTCATCAGGCTACCAGTAGATTTCTCAGCAGAAACCTTACAAGCTGCAAGAGTTTGGGGGTGTATTTTCATCATCCTTAAAAGAAATTCCAAACAAGAATGTCATATCCCGTCAAATTAAGCTTTATAAGTGAAGGAGAAATAAAATCTTTTCCAGATGAGTAAATGCTAAGGGAATTCATTACCACTAGACCAGTCATACAAAAGATCATCAGGGAGTTCTAAACATGGAAATGAAAGAACAATACCTGCTACTGCAAAAACACACTTAAGTACATTTACAGATCCTATTAAGCAACTTCACAATCAAGACTACATAGCAACCAGTTAACAGCACAACTGGATCAAAACCTCACATATGAATATTAATCTTGAAGGTGAATAGTCTAAATATTCCTCTTAAAAGATACATAGTGGCAGCTATTGTCAAGAGACTCATCTCACAGTAACAACCTCCACTGGCTCAAAGTAAAGGCTTGGAGAAAGATTTATCATGCAAATGGAAAAACAAAAAAACAGCAGGGGCCACTGTTCTTATATCACGTAAAACTGACTTAAACCAACAACAACCAAGAAGTACAAAGAAGGGCATTACATAATGATAAAGGGTTCAATACAATAAAAAGACTTAACTTTCTTAAATATATATGTACTCACCATTGGTGCATCTAAATTAAAAAAACAAGTACTTCTAGACCTATAAAAAGATTTTGATAGCCACACAATAATAGTGGGGGACTTCAACACTCCCCTGACAGCATTAGATTATTGAGGCAGGAAACTAACAAATTCTGGACTTAAATTTGACACTTGACTAATTGGACCTAATAGAAATCTACAGAATATTCCACCCAGCTACCCAGATTATATATTCTTCTCATCTGCATATGGAACATACTCTAAGATTGCCCACATGCTTGGTGATAAAGCAACTCTCAATAAATTCAAAAAAATTGAAATCACACTGAACACACTCTTGGACCATAGTGGAATAAAAATAGAAATCAATACCAAGAAGATCTCTCATAACCACACAATTACGTGGAAATTAAACAACTTGCTCCTGAATGACTTTTGGGTAAACAACAAAATTAGGGCAGAAATCAAAAAAATTTTTGAAATAAATGAAAACAGAGACACTTATATCCACATCTCTGGGATGCAGTAAAGGCAGCGTTAAGAGGAAAGTTTATCATGCTAAAACACCTACATCAGGAAGTCAGATAGATCTCAAATTAACAATCTAAAATTGCAAGTAAAGGAATTAGAAAAGCAAGAACAAACTAACCCAAAGAAATAACCAAAGCAGAGCAGAAATGAGTGAAATTAAGACCTAAAAATTCATACAAAGGATTGATGAAATAAAAACTTTATTCTTTGAAAAGGATAAACAAGACTGATAGACTGCTAGGCAGAATAACAAAGAAAAAAAGAGAAAGATCTAAATATGAACAAATGAACGATCAGCAATGACAAAGATAACATTATAGCCAACCTCACAGATGCAAAATTTCTTCAGAGACTATTATGAATACCAATATGCATGCAAACTAGAAAATCTTGAGAAAATAAATAAATTCCTGGAAACACATAAACTCCCAATATTGAATCAGGAAGAAATGGAAGCCCTGAACATATCAATTATGAGTTCTGAAATGAATCAGTAATAAAAAATCTACCAACCAAAAAAAGCACTGGACCAGATGTATGCATAGCCAAATTGTATCTGACATATTATGAAGAGCTGGGACCAATTCTATTGGAACTATTCCAAAGTATCAAGGAGGAAGAACTCCTCCCTAAGTCATTCTATGAAGTGAGCATCATCCTGATACCAAAATCTGGCAAAGACACAACAAGAAAGAAAACTACAGGTCAATATCCTTGACAAACATAGATGCAGAAATCCTCAATAAAATACTAGCAATGAAAGCCAGCAGTACATCCAAAATTAATTCATCACAATTAAGTAGGCTTTATTCCTCAGATGCAAGGTTGGTTCAACCTATGCAAATCAATAAACGTGACTCATCACATAAACAGAATTAAACACAAAGACAGTATGATCATCTCAATAGATGCAGAAAAGGGTTTTGTTAAAATCCAACATCCCTTCATGATAAAAACTCTTAACAAACTAGGAATTGAAATAAAATACATAAAAATAATAAGAGCCTTCTGTGACCAACTCACAATCACATCAAGCAAATAGGTAGAGGCATTCCCTTTAAGAACTGGAATAAGACATGGATACACAGCCTCACCACTCCTATTCAACGTAGTACTGGAAGTCCTAGCCAAAGCAGTCAGGCAAGAGAAAGAAATAAAAGGTATTGAATAGGAAAAGAAGAAGTCAAATTATCTCTCTTTGCTGATGATGAGATTCTATACCTAGGAAACCCTCAAGGCTCTGCCAAAAGGCTCCTAGAACTGATAAACTACTTAGGTAACATTTCAGGTTACAAAATTGATATACAAAAGTCAGTACCATTTCTATACACCAATAATATTCAATCTGACAACCAAATCAAGAATGCAATATTATTTAAAACCGCCACCAAAAAATAAAATACCTAGGACTACATCTAATGAAGAAGGTAAAAGATCTCTGCAAGAAGAATGACAAAACACTACTGAAAAAAATCATAGGTGACACAAATAAATGGAAAAACATTCCATACTCATGGACTAGAAGAATCAATATTGTTAAAATGGCCATAAGCAATATACAGATTCAATGCTATTCCTATCAAACTACCAATATTATTTTTCACAGAATTAGAAAAAAAGATTCTAAAATTCATATAGAATCAAAAAAGAGCCTGAATAGGGAAAGCAATCCTAAGCAAAAAGAACAAAGCCAGAGGCATCACATTAGCTCACTTCAAACTACACTACAAGGCTACAGTAACCAAAACAGCATGGTATGGGTACAAAAAAAGACATATTGACCAATGTAACAGAATAGAGAACCCGGAAATAAAGCCACACACCTAAAACCATCTGATATTCTATGAAGTCAACAAAAATAAGCAATGTGGAAAGGACTCTCTATTCATAAATGGTGCTAGGATAACTGGCTAGCCATATGCAGAAGAATGAAACTGGACACCTACTTATCACCATATACAAAAATTAACTCAAGATGGATTGAAGACTTACATGTAAGACCTAAAACTATAAAAAACTTTGAAAAAAAAAACCCAGGAAATACCATTCTGGACATCAACTTTCACAAAGATTTTATAACTAAGTCCGCAAAAGCAACTGCAACAAATGCAAAAATTGACAAGTAGGACCTAATTAAACTAAAGAGCTTCTGCACAGCAAAATAAACTATCAATAGAGTTAACAGACGACCCATGAGAGGGGAGAAAATATTCACAAACTATGCATCTGACAAAGGTTTAATACCCAGAATCTACAAAGAACTTAAACAATTCAATAAGCAAAAACTGGCCGGGCGCGGTGGCTTACACGTGTAATCCCAGCAGTTTGGGATGCCGAGATAGGCATATCACCTGAGGTCAGGAGTTCGAGACCAGCCTGACAAATATGGTAAAACCCTGTCTCTACTAAAAGTACAAAGTTAGTCGAGCATGGTGGCACATGCCTGTAATCTCAGCTACTCATGAGGCTGAGACAGGAGAATCACTGGAACCCAGGAGACAGAGGTTGCAGTGAGCTGAGATTGTGCCGTTGTACTCCAGCTTGGGCAACAAGAGTGAAACTCCATCAAAAAACAAAACAAAACAAAACAAAACAGAAAAACACCAAATAATCCCATTACAAAGTGAGCAGAAGACATGAATAGACACTTCTCAAAAGAAGACACACAAGTGGCCAATAAGCATATGCCAAAAGCTCAATATCACTAATTATCAGAGGAAGGCAAATCAAAACCACAAGGAAATACCATCTCACATCAGTCAGAGTGGCTATTATTAAAAACTCAAAAAATAACAGGTGTTTGCAAGGCTGTGGAGAAAAGGAAACACTTATACACTGTTGGTGGGACTGTAAAGTAGTTCAACCACTGTAGGAAGAAGTTGGGAGATTTTTCAAAGACTAAAAACAGAACTACCACTCAACCCAGCAATCCCGTTACCCTTCCTTTTGGTATATACCCAAAGGAAAATAAACTATTCTACTAAAAAGACACATGCACTCTTATATTAATCACAGCACTATTCACAATAGCAAGGACATGGCATCAACATAGGTGTCCATTAGTTGTGGACTGGATAAAGGAAATGTGGTACATATACATCATGGGATACTACATAGTCATGTAAAAGAATGAAATCGTGTCATTTGCAGCAACATGGATGCAGCTGGAGGCCAATATTCTAAGTGAAGTGTTGAAAAACTACCTATTGGGTACTTTGTGCACTACCTGTGTGATGGGATCAATCACACCCCAAACCTCAGCATCACACAATACACATTGTAACAAACCTGCACACGTACCCCCTGAAGCTAAAATAAAAGTTGAAATAGACAAAAACAAATACGAAATAACTTTATAATGCAGACATAAGATGTTAGTATGTCTGCATTATAAAGTTAAAATGTGGTATAAATCAATTTAAGGTTGTTTTCTTCATTGTCTTGGAGTCAAGATTCATACCTATAAATAAAGCTAAATCACAACCTTCCCCTAAACACAACAAAATGAAGAAGAGATAAAGACTTTCCCAGACAAATACTGAGGCAGTTTATCACCATTAAACTTGCCTTACCAGAAATGCTAAAGGGAGTCCTTTGAGTTGATACAAAAGGATGTTAAATAACAACATGAAAGCATATGAAAGTATAAAACTCACTGGAGAAGGTAAATATACAAATACAGAAAACTGTAATATTGTAAATTGGTGTTGTATAAATCATTTTTAATTTTCATATAAAGTTAAAAAATAAGCAAAAGTATTAAGAATACCTATAACTATACAAATCATTGATGGATATACAATATAAAAATATATAAACCACTAGGCATGTTGGCTCATGTTTCTAATCCCAGCTACTTAGGAGGCTGAGGCAACAGGATTGCTGGAGATTAAGATTGTTCAAAAACAATCCGGTCAACATAGCAAGACCCTGTATTGCAAGTCCATAGCAAGTCCATTTTGCACTGCTGTAAAGGAAAACCTGAGACTGGGTGATTTATAAAGAAAATTGTTTTATTTGTCTTACGGTTCATGCATGGGACAAGCATCTGCTTGTCTTCTGGTGAGGTGTCAGGGAGCTTTTTCTCAAGGTGGAAGGTGGAAAGGGAGCAGGTGTGTCATATGGCAAGAGAGGGAGCAAGAAATATGCCAAGCTCCTTTAAACAACCAGCTCTTGAATGAACTAATAGAAGCAGAACTCACTCATCACCAAGGGGATGGCACTAAGCCATTGGTGAGGGATCCGTCCCCCTAATCCAACATTTTTCACCAGGCCAGGCCCCACCTTCAACATTGAGGATCACATTTCAACATAAGATTCGGAAGGGACACACATCCAAACCATATCTTTCCACCCCTCGTTCCCCAAATCACACATCCTTCTATGGCAAAATACAATAATCTCTTCCCAGTAGTCCTCAAAAGGGTCAACTTGTTTCAGCATCAACTCAAAAGTCCAGAATCTCATCTGAAACTCAAGGCATGTGCCTTCTACCTATAAGCCTCTAAGATCAAAACCAAGTTATTTTCTCCTAAGATACAATGGTGGTACAGGCATTGGGTAGACATTTCCATTCTAAAGGGAGAAATCAATCAAAAGAAAGGGGCAATAGGTCCCACACAAATTTGAAATCCAGCAGGGCAGGCTTTAAACCCTAAAGCTCCAAAATAATCCTTCACTCCATGGTGTGCATCATAGTGTGAGGGGTGAGCTCCCAAGGGTTTGGCCAGCTCTGCTCCTGTGGCTTTTCCAGACTGATGTCAGAAGCTGCCAGCAGCTCTACCATCCTAGAGTCTGGAGGGCAGTGGCTCTGTTCCTACAGCTGCTCTAAGCAGTGCTCCAGTATGGACTCTCTGTGGGGGTTCCAACCCCATATCTCCCCTTGGCACTGCCCTAGCTGAGTCATTCTGCAGGGGCTTTGGCCCTGTGCCAGGCTTCTGTCTGAGCACCTAGGCTTTCTCATACATCCTCTGAAATCTAGGTGGAAGCTGCCAAGCCTCCTTTACTCTTGTATTGTCTGATCCTGCAGACTTAACATGCCATGGAAGCTAACAAGGCTTACAGCATCTTGCATTCTCCAAAGTGGCGGTCTGAGCTGTATCAGGGGCCCTTTGAGCCAAGGCTGGAGCTGGAGGAGTGGGGATGGGGCAGACAAGCTTACCAAGGTGGCACAGCAGAGTGGTGCCCTGGACCTGGCCCCTGAAACCATTCAGTCCTTTTAGGCCTCTGGACTTGTGATTGAAGGGCAGTCTAGAAGATTCTGAAAATGTCTTACGGTCTTTTTCCCCATCATCTTGGCTAGTAGCACTTGGCTCCTTTTAGTCATGCATATCTCTCTAGCAAGTGGTTGTTCTGCAACCCTCTTGGATTTCTGTCTTGAAAATCCTCTTTCCTTCTCTAACGCAGGCTGGTTGCAAATTTTCCAAACTTTTATGCCCTGTTTCCCTTTTAAATGTAAGTTCCAACCTTAAGTCATTCATTTGCTCCCATACTTGATCATAGGCTGTTAGAAGCAGCTGGGCTACATCTTGAATACTCCCTGCTTAGAAATCCCTAGGACATGTACATAATGTAGCCAAGTTCTTTGCTAGGGCATAACAAGGTGACCTTTGCTTCGGTTCTCATTAAGTTTCTAATTTCCATGTGAGACCTCATCAGCCTAGCCTTCACTGTCCATCAGCATTTTGGTCACAACCAACTTAACAAGTCTTTAAGAAGTTCCAAATTTTCCCTTGTCTTTCTTTCTTCTTCTGAGCCCTCCAAACTTGTGTAACCTCTGCCCATTACCCAGTTTCAAGGCTGCTTCCACATTTTCAAGTATTTTTATAGCAATGTCCCATCCCTCAACACCAATTTCCTTCCTGTATTAGTCCATTTTACATTGTTATAAAGAAATAACTGTAATTTATAAATAAAAAGGGTTTACTTGGCGTATGATTCTGCAGGCTGTATAAACATGGCACCAGCTTCTGCTTGGCTTCTAGTGAGGCCTCAGGAAGCTTTTACTCATGGCAGGAGGTAAAGGGGGAGCAGGTGTGTCACATGGTGAGAGAGGAAGTGAGAGAGAGAGAGAGGAAGAGGTGCCAGGCCTTTTTAAACAACTAGCACTCATGTAAACAAATAGTGAGGACTCACTCATCATCAACCTGGTGACACTAAGCCATTCACAACGGATCCACCTTCATTATCCAATACCTCCTACCAAGTTCCACCTCCAAATTAGGGATCACAGTTCAACATTTGGAGGGGATGCATTCCAAACCATATCAGACCCCACTTCTAAAAAATTCTTTTAAAATTAACCGGTGTGGTGGTGTGTACCCATAATTCCTGCTACTGTGGATCCTGAGGCAGGAGGATCACTGGAGCCCAAGAGTTCAAGGCTGTGGTGAGCTGTGATCGTGCTGCTGCACTCCAGCCTGAGTGACAAAGATGTTATATCTTAAAAAGACATAAACTCTGACATGAAGAATGTAAAGTGTAGTGATGAGAGAAATAAGTGTCGAGTTTTATTATCCAATTAAAGTTACATTGTTACCAGCCTATAATCCACAGTTGTAGTTATAAAATATTTTATGTAATCCTTGTGGTAATAACCACAAAGAAAATACCTATAGAATACTATGCAGCCATAAAAAATGATGAGTTCATGTCCTTTGTAGGGACATGGATGAAGCTGGAAACCATCATTCTCAGCAAACTATCGCAAGGACAAAAAACCAAACACCGCATGTTCTCACTCATAGGTGGGAATTGAACAATGAGAACACGTGGACACAGGAAGGGGAACATCACACACTGGGGCCTGTTGTGGGGTGGGGGAAGGGAGGAGGGGAGGGATAGCATTAGGAGATATTTTGTTAAATGATGAGTTAATGGGTGCAGCACACCAACATGGCACATGTATACATATGTAACAAACCTGCACATTGTGCACATGTACCCTAAAACTTAAAGTATAATAAAAAAAAAAAGAAAATACCTATGGAAAATACACACAGAAGAGAAAAGAACCAAAGTGTACCACTTCAGCTGAGCAGCTGCCCTGTGTGAAAAATACAGGGCTTCTGCCTCCTTCTCACAAAGCCCAGTCCACCATTTCAAGGAGGTGGAAACCTAAAGCTAGGTATCAAAGCAATCTCAAACGAGAGTGATGTTTTATTTGGTTTAAGTGCCTTTGTTTATGGGGCTTGGAATCAAAAGACCTCAGTGGGGCCTGTGCCTCTTGCGGGACTAACTCACAAACCTTGGCGAGTCCTCTTCTAGGAGTAACTCACCAACTAAACTTGGGAAGGTCATTTCACTTCCCAGTTACTTTTCTTTAGTTTCTAAAGCTCTTAAGTGCAGACAAATGACACATAAAATACATTGCATATTATTTAATATTGTAACACACACACACACACACACACACTCACAAACTTTCTATGTCCCTAGCATACTCTTTAAGTGAATACACATTTGATAAATGCATTTGGTTAAGTTAATTTAAAATATTATAGTTGGTTATTGTGAGTGACTTAGGTAAATCACATGTGCTTGAAGATTTTTCAGTCTCATGCCATAAAACATTTCTGCTCAGGATGTTATAGCATTTAGGGTACTTTAACTGTGAAGGTTTGTTGCTGTTGGTTCCTTATTTTTTTTTCCAGCTATAAAACCAAACATGTAGGTAATATAGCAGCCACCCCTTTAGATCTTCTAGAATCCATCATTTACCCAAAGCAAAATGTAGTATCACATAATTAAATTGACTTTCAATTTTATCAATACTGAATAATCTCATATATTAAAGCACTATAAATGAGAATGTTAGAATATAGTCTCAGGACAGGAGTCAGGTTTTCATGGCACCCAAGAAGTGGGAAATAATTACCCCACCCCTTCTGACCTCCCAGAAACAGGTCCTGATTAGGATCCAGTCCCCTCTTGGAAGTGAGGCTGGGCTGGCTTGCTCTTGGTATCCCCATTCCACTTTAGGGTGGCTCTGTGTTTTTTTTTTTTTTTTTTTTTTTTTTTTTGTGAAACAGAATCTTGGTCTGTCTCTCAGGCTGGAGTACAGTGGCACTACCACAGCTTATTGCAGCCATGATCTTCTGGGCTCAAGTGATCCTCCCACCTCAGCCTCTTGAGTAGCTGGGACTACAGGGATGTACCAGCATGCCTGGCTAATTAAAAAAAAAATTGTAGAGACAGAGTCTTGCCACATTTGATCAGGCTGATCTTGAACTCCTGGGCCCCAGCAGTCCTCTCACCTTGACCTCCCAAATTACTGGGATTACAGGTGTGAGCCACAACACTCAGTCAGTGGCTCTGTATCTTGACATAAGTATTCCAAGGATGGACATTTGCTGAAATCAATCATACTGCTATTGTCCTTTAGCACAGGAGTGCTGATCAGTTCTGTGGCCTCTGTTACCACATACAGGTTCTCCCTTCTCTTATGCACTGCTCCAGAAATAATGGTTCTCGGTCCATCAATCCAACAGTTTCCTGGGATATAAGGCAGGAGGAAAAGAGTAAGAGTTGGGGAAGAACACCTTCTTATTTGTTCTGAATTACACATCTCCTCAGGTGCTGGACATTGTGCAGTGCCTCTGGAAGTTGACAGGTGAACCCTCAATAGGTAGGAAAATCAATTAACTTTGTAGCTGGCCAAGAAACATTACATATCCTGCATCCCATTTACTAAAAGAATCTCATGCCTTATTTTTTTTCATATTTAAAGCTTTGACTTCAGGGTTACTTATTTCTTTTAGTGCTAGCTAATAAAATTTATCATATAAGTTGAGCCTCTTTCAATATGAAGAAAAACCTAAAAGAAATCTTGTGGACGACCAGTGAGCACCAGGTGAATTTGTTGGAAGTGGCAAAGAGAAGGAGAATTTTCCTTCCAATAGGTAAACATACGCCTGTCTTATGCCACTGTAGTTAAGATCAAGCTGACTAAACTGTCTGATTTGTATTCATCAACTAGAAGACTGCTTTATATATGTGTGTAAATTGCCTGCTTGGTGCTGCAAAACCCAGCTTTTCAAGCATTTATGCAAAGTTGCTGTGACTGAAATAGGACAAGGCTATAACTTTCACGAAGATGGGCATGAAATGGTTAAATATAAAAACCCAGAAGCCTCACTGTTGTGCCAACTAGACCATAATCCTCGAGAAACATCAGCACAGGACTGAAGAGATGTAGACATGATCGTCAGTGGCTGGGATGGGCAGGAGCGCTAAGGCCCTGGGGAGCACCTCTGAACTCCTTCCATGTGGAGCTCTGTACACCAGGAATTAACTGCACAGATTATGTAATCCAATCTTGCAACAACCTTTATTTTAAAGATAAAGAGAAAGGAGATTTGTAAAAACGACAACTTACCCAAACCCATGTTTTCTCAATTGTTCCCCTTAGCCTTGTGGAGTAAGTGAAGTTCCCCTAGGAGGGGAAACTGTAGGACAGGAAGGCCACAACTGTAAGTTTTCTGGGAAATCCTCTAACTGACACTCAAATGGCAACATTCATTCACTGAAAGTGTTTCAAACCATTTTTATTTCACTTTCGTGCTCTGTCTTGTTCCTTCCTGTTAGTAGCTGGAATAAGTCCTAAGTCCTAAGCCACGTCCTAGCAGGATGATCTTTAGGGAACAGAAATGAGATAACTAGGCTGTGAGTCCTTGCCAGGATCAAGGCAGACCAGTGAGCACCTAGTGAATTTACTGGAAGTGGCAAAGAGAAGGAGAAAGGCCCAGACTTCCTGGCTCCTGCTTGTCTCCTCATCCTCTTTCTGTTCCCTAAGAACCAACCACGTTGCTCTTCCTCCTGCCCCTTTCCAGGCCAGGCTTGTGCCCATCTGAGGGCTTTTCCACTCGCTTTTCTTCACTGGGGAATGCTTTTTGCCAGTTTTTGTCATGCCTGTCTTCTTATCATTCATGTCCCACTGAAACTTAGAGGTGAGCACCCTGTGATAGTACCCTCACTGCCAACTCTCTCTTTGCCATTTAATTTCATTTATTTTGTCAACAACTTTTTTTTTCTTTTAAAGATGGGGTCTTTCTCTTCCTCTGTCACCCAGACTGGAGTCCAGCAGTGGCAAGATCATAGCTCACTGTAACCTCAACTCCTGGGCTCGGACAATCCTGCCAAGTAGCTAGGACTTACAGGAGGATGACCCTACACCCAGCTAATTTTTCTATGTTTATTTTTCTGGGAGATGGCATCTCACTATGTTGCTCGGGCTGGTCTTGAACTCCTGGCTTCAATCAAACCTTTTGCCTTGGCCTCCTAGAGCACCAGAATTATAGGTGTGAGCCATCGCACTCAGCCTATGACTCTTATTAGTCCTTGAAACTGTCATATTGATTCTTTTTTTAAAAAACATGTGCCTTGTCTGGCTCCCACACTAAAAGGCAAGCTCTTTGGGTCTGGGATTCTGTCTCATTAACCTCTATATCTAGACAAAGACTACCTCCTTGACCACACTTTAGGCAGGTTCCTCTGAGCCCTCTTCTCAACTAGACCTTGACTTTGGGCTTCTGTGTTGTCCTGTGTTGCCCAGTTTTAGAAAAAAAATCCTGTTGAGTGGGTTTAGCCAGAATTCCCACCCTAAATACCTGATCACCCTCAAATCTGATCAAATTCCTTATTCTCCCACCATTCCCCAGGTGATATTTGATCACCTTGGCCTGCCTGCAGCAAGAATCCTCCAAGGTCAGTTTAGCAAAAATTACCCTACCTTCATAGTAATTTTCCATTCACTGACCCACCATGCTGCTTTGGTAAACTCCCTACTTTTCCTTGTTGTGTTCAGTATTGAGCAGAGTTCTATCTATTTTACCTCTCACTGCAATAGTTCCTAAATAAATTACTTTTGCTGCCCCTTTAACTGCTGTCCAGTTCTGATTTTCTTTGACGATGCCAAATAGGCTTGCCAGGAGTGAAGCAGAGGCTGTTGTAGAGATAAATAACAAGAGGGTGCTATTTATAGACTTAGCATGGTTCCTTGCAGAAGAAACTTGGAGTTTTCTTTTCATGTTTTCCAAGATTGCTGTTTCCTTAACAAGACGCTGTTTCCCACCTAGGAGAATCAGACATACTTAGCTGCTGCTACACGTTTGGTTTCCCATATTTTATCCTTTATACCCATCCTCTGGGATGTTGTAGGGTGCTTTGGGGTGGAGAATAAGAAAATGTGTCAGTAACTTTCTTGGCTATTTATTATGATGGTCATAATACTAAATCTCTTTTATTCTAAGCCTAATCAAAAAGTACTGATGGTTTGTTGGACTGTGAAATTTTTCAGAATAAAAATGGAGTCACTTGCATAAAAAATTCTAACAAATGGAGCAAGAAAAGGCCATGACAGGAGGGACTCATGCAGGAATGCCTGATAACAAGAACTGTCACAAAAGACTCTGCAAAACCACAACCTGAGGAGGCAGAGAAAGATGGCAGAACAGAAGCCTCCACCAATTGTACTTCCTGCAGGAACACCAAATTTAACAGCTATGTACATAAACAAGCACGTTTATAAGAACCAAAATTCAGGTGAGCAATCACAGTAGCTGGTTTTAACATCATATTGCTGAAAGATGCACTGAAGAGAATAGGAAAGATAGTCTTGAATTGCTGACACCACCCCTTCTCCATCACCCCAGCAATGGCTGGCTGTGTGGTACAGAGAGAATCTGTGTGCTTGGAGGAGGGAGAGTGCAGCGATTGTGAGGCTTTGCATTGGAAAGCAGTGCTGTCAACCCTGGGCAGAATTCGGTCAGTGCTCTCAGAGGGAGCATTTAGACCTGCCTTAGCCAGAGGGGAATCACCCATCCCAGCAGTCAGAACTTGAGTTTCAGCAAGGCTCACCATGGGCTAAAATGCTCTGGGGTTCTACAAAAACTTTAAAGTCTGAATGGGTCACAAGGACTGCAATTCCTAGGCAAGTCCTGGTGCTGGGTGTGTTTCAGAGCCAGTGGACTTTGGGAGCATTTGACCTAGTGATATCACTAGGCCAGCCAGCCAGGGAACCTAATGGAATGCTTATGTCACTCCTCCCCCAACCCCAGGCAGTACAACTTGTAGCTCTAAAAGAGACCCCTTCCTTCCACTTGAGGGGAGGAAAGAGTAAAGAGGACTTTGTCTTGCAACTTGGATACCACCTCAGCCACAGAAGGATAGGGCACCGGGCAGAGTTGTGAAGCCCCCATTCAAGACCCTAGCTCACGGACAACATTTCTAAACACACCCTGGCACAGAAGGGAAACTGCTGCCTTGAAAGGAAGGACCCAGTCCTGGCAAGATTTATCACTAGATGACTAAAGATCCCTTGGGTCCTGAATAATATAATCAGCAGCAGTAACCAGTTAGTACACGCTGTGGGCCTTGGGTGAGACTCTGAGATGTGCTAGGTTCAGGTGTGACTCAGTACATTTACAGTTGTGGTAGCTATGAGGAGAAACCCCCTTCTGCTTGAGAAAAGCAAAAAGAAGAGTAAAGGTGACTTTGTCTTGAGCTTAGATACCAGCTTGGCTGCAGTGGAGAAGAGCACCAAGCAGGCTCTTTACGTCCCTAAGTACAGGTCTTGGCTGTTGGATGAGATCTCTGAACCTAACAGAGGGGAGCCCACTGCCCTGAAGAGTAAGGCCCAGGCCTGGCAGCATTCACCATGAGCTTACTGAAGAGCTCTTGGGCCTTAAGTGAACATTGACAGTACCCTGGCAGTATTCTCTGGGGCCTGTGGTGGCAGACATGGGGAGAAACTCCTCTGTCTATGGAAAGAGAAGGGAAGAGTGGGAAGGATAGGGTGGTTTCCGCTCCAGCTCAGCTGCAGTAGAATAGAGCACCAGGTAGATTTCTTCAGGCCCTGGCTTCTGGATAGCATCTCTGGGCCTGGATAGGGCTCTGGGCAAGACCCAGTGCAGTCCCAGTGGTGGTAGCCACAGAGGTGATTGTGTGGTATGGTTTGGATCTGTGTCCCCCTCCCAAATCTCGTGTTGAATTATAATCCCCAGTGTTGGAGGATGGGTCTGGTGGGAGGTGAGTGGATTATGAGGGCAGATTTCCCCATTGCTGTTCTCCTGATAGTGAGTTCTCACAATATCTGGTTGTTTAGAAGTGTGTAGCACCTCCTCCTTCTCTCTCTTCCTCCTGCTCTGGCCATGTAAGTTGTGCCTCCTTCCTCTTTGCCTTCTGCCATGATTGTAAGTTTCCTGAGGCATCCCTAGCCATGCCTCCTGTGAAGTCTGTGAAACTGTGAGTCAATTAAACCTCTTTTCTTTATAAATTACCCAGTCTCAGGTAATTATAGCAATGCGAGAATGGACTAATACAGAAAATTGTTACATAGGAGTGGGGCATTGCTATAAAGATACCTGAAAATGTGGAAGTGACATTAGAACAGGGTAACAGGCAGAGGTTGGAACAGTTTGGAGGGCTCAGAAGAAGAAAGAAAGACGAGGGAAAGTTTGGGACTTCCTAAAGACTTCTTAAATTATTGTGACCAAAATGCTGATAGTACTGATAGTGATATGGACAATGAAGTCCAGGCTGAGGTGGTCTTAGATGGAGAAGAGGAACTTATTGGGAACTAGAACAAAGGTCAGTTTTGTTATGCATTAGCAAAGAGGTTAGAGGTATTGTGCCTCTGCCCTAAAGATTTAAACTTGAGAGAGATGATTTAGGGTATCTGGTGGAAGAAATTTTGAAGCTGCAAAGTGTTCAAGATGTGGCCTGGCTGCAACTAATAGCATTTGCTTATATGTGTGAGCAAATAGATGATCTGAAACTGGAAGTTATATTTAAAAGGAAGCAGAGCATAAAAGTTTGGAAAATTTGCAGCCTAACCATGTGGCAGAAAAGAAAAACCCATTTTCAGGGGAGGTGTTCAAGCTGGCTGCAGAAGTTTGCACAAGTAAAGAGGAGCAGGAATGTTAGTAGCCAAGATAATGGAGAAAAGGCCTGGAAGGTATTTCAGAGACTTCCATGGCAGCCCCTCCCATTACAGGCCTGGAGGCCTAGAAAATAAGAATGGTTTCATGGGTCAGGACCAGGGTTCTGCTGCTCTGCAC
The DNA here is from genome assembly GCF_000001405.40 of Homo sapiens. Lineage (NCBI taxonomy): Eukaryota > Metazoa > Chordata > Mammalia > Primates > Hominidae > Homo > Homo sapiens. The sequence continues at coordinate 83,196 of NW_019805494.1, read as the reverse complement.
AAACTCAGGATTCTGCTCCCTGTGTCCCAACTGTTCCAGCTCCAGCCTTAGCTAAAATGATCCCAGATATGTCTCAGGCCACTGCTCCAAAGGGTTCAAGCTGTAAGCCTTAGCAGCTTCCATGTGGTGTTAAGTCTACAGGTGTGCAGAAGGCAATAGTTAAGGCTTGGGAGACTCCACCTAGATTTCAGAGGAGGTGTGGAAGTGCCTGAATGTCCAGGCAGAAGTCTGCTGCAGGGGTGGAGCCCTCATGGAGAACCTCTATTACAGGAGTGCAGAAGGGAAATGTGGGATTGAAGCCCTCACACAGAGTCCCCACTGGGGCACTGCCTAGTGGACCTGTGAGGAGAGGACGACCATCCTCCAGAACCCAGAATGGTAGATCCACTGACCGCTTGCACTGTGCACCTGGAAAAGCAGCAGGCACTGCACTCAATGCCATGAAAGCAGCCATGGGAGCTGTACCGTGCAGAGCCACAGGGGCAGAGCTGCCCAAGGCCTTGGGAGCCCACCCCTTGCATCAGTGTGGCTTGAATTACAGACATGGAGTCAAAGGAGATTCTTTTGGAGCTTTAAGATTTAATGACTGCCCTGCTGGGTTTTGGTCTTGCATGGGGGCCTTTAGCCTCTTTGTTCTGGTCAATTTCTACCTTTTGTAATGGGAGTATTTAGCCAATGCCTGCACCCCCATTTTATCTTGGAAGTAAATAACCTGCTTTTTATTTCATTGGCTCATAGGTGGAAGGGATTTGCCTTGTCTCGGATGAGACTTTGGACTATGGACTTCTGAGTTAATGGTGAAATGAGTTAAGACTTGGGGGATTGTTGAGAAGGGAGGATTGTATTTTGCAATGTGAGAAGGATATGAGATTTGGGAGGCATCAAGGACAGAATGATATGGTTTGGATTTGTGTCCCTGCCCAAATCTCATGTCTAATTGTTATTCCCAGCATTGGAGGAGGGGCCTTGTGGGAGGTAATTGGGTCATGGGGGTAGATTTTCCCCTTGCTGTTCTCATGTTAGTGAGTGAGTTATGAGATTTGGTTGTTTATAAGTGTGTGGCACCTCCCCCTTCTCTCTCTTCCCACTGCTCTGGCCATGTAAGACTTTATCTCACAAGGGTCCTTGGGGAGGGCTGCCAGTGGAATTGTGGAAGAACCACAGGGTAAAGGAAACTTCCAGCTGAACTTTGTAATAATTTTGGCTGAACATGAATTTTCCAGGGTAAAATCCGGGGGTGGGGAGCAAACAGGAAGTGCAGATTTGAGCACAGAAGCCATGGCATGTGGGTAGGGGTGAAGCCTGAAAGCCCTACTTGCTTTCTCAGCAGGAAGGCTTGTAGCCTGGGGCAAGAACTCAGCCCTGCACACTGACTGCCTGGATATAAACCTGGTGATTTGTTGGGGCATGGTAAGAGTGAGACTGGCCTTGCTGGCTGCATGAGAGCTGGCTGAGGCCCATCATGGCTGGGTTTCCCCCACTTCCCTGGTGGCTTGTATGATGCAGCAGAGGCAGCCATAATCCCCCTGGGAACATAACCTCATTGGCCTGAGAACCACCAACCCCACAGTGGCTGCAGCAAGTCCTGCCCAAGGAGAGTCTGAACTCAGACATGCTTAACCCCGCCCCCAACTGATGGTCTTTCTCTACCTGCCCTGGGAGCCAAAGACAAAAGATATAATCTCTTGGAAGCTCTATGGCTCTACTCATTCAATGAGAAACCCGAATACTTATCCAGACAGGCTTGTATCCCTGCTATACTACCACAGTTGATGCTCTTTTAAAAGCACCACCTCCCTGCTGGTGGTCAAGCAACTCAAGCCTTTAGAGCAACTCATAAAAGAAAACTGCTGCTCCAAGAAAGGAGAAAACAACACCTAATTCCACTGCCTGCAACATCCTGGATAACCACACGTCCTGAGTCTGTCCATGTGACAGCTTCACTTCTAGCACAACTGCCATTTGAGAAAACCAGCACACTAAAAAAACTATGACCAAGGACCCTCACAGAGTTCACTTCACACCCCTGTTACCTCCACCAGAGCAGGTGCTGGTACCCATGGCTGAGAGACCTAAAGACAAATCACATCCCAGTATTCTTTGTGCACACTCCCCAGTACCAGCCCAGAGCCTGGTAGCTCCATTAGGTGGCTAGACCCAGAAGAGCAATAACAATCACTGCAGTCTGGCTCTTAAGAAGCCCCATCCCTAGGGGAAGAAGGAGAGCACCAAATCAAAGTATCACTCTATGGGACAAAAGAATCTGAACAGCAGCCCTTGAGCCTCAGATCTTTCCTCTGATATAGTCCTAGAAAAACAGTTCTAGTAATATGACAAAACAAGGATCTTTACCACCACCAAAAGGTCACATGAGCTCATCAGCAATGAATCCAAACCAAGAAGATATCTCCGAATTGCCAGAAAAGAAATTCAGAAGGTTGATTGTTAAGCTGCTCAAGGAGGCACCAGAGAAAGGTGAAAGCCAACTTAAAGAAATTAAAAAGGCCAAGCATGGTGGCACACATGTGCATTCCCAACACTCTGGGAGGCCGAGGTGGGTGGAGCACCTGAGATCAGGAGTTTGCAACCAGCCTAACATGGTGAAACCCTGTCTCTACTTAATACAAAAAATTTAGCTGGGCGTGGTGGCTTGTGCATGTAATTTGAGCTACTTGGGAGGCTGAGACAGGAGAATTGCTTGTACCTGGGGGACAGAAATTGCAGTGAGTCGAGATTATGCCATTGCACTCCAGCCTGGGCAAAAAGAGTGAAACTCCAAAACTCCATCTCAAAAAAAAAAAAAAAAAAAAAAGAAATTAAAAAGTTTTACAGGGTATGGATTAAAAAACTCCAGAGAACTAGATAGCATAAAAAAGAAGCACGACTTCTGGAAATGAAAAACACACTTAGAAAAATGCAAAATACACTGGAAAGTTTCAACAATAGAATCAAACAAGTAGAAGGAAGAACTTCAGAGCTTGAAGACAAGGCTTTCAAATGAACCCAATTCAATAAAGACAAAGAAAAAAGAATAAAAAAAAAAGAACAAAGCCTCCAAGAAGTTTAGGATTACGTTAAGTGACCAAACCTAAGAATAATTGGTGTTCCTGAGGAAGAAGAAAAATCTAAAAGTTTGGGAAACTTATTTGAGGGAATAATTGAAAAAACTTCTCTGGCCTTTCTAGAGATCTAGACATCTAAATACAACAAGCTCAAAGAACACCCAGGAAATTCATTGCAAAAAGATCATCACCTAGGCACCTATTCTTCAGGTTATCTAAAATCAAGATGAAAGAAAGAAACTTAAAAGCTGTGAGGCAAAAGCATCAGGTTACCTATAAAGGAAAGCCTATCAGATTAACAGCAGATTTCTCAGCAGAAACCCTACAAGCTAGAATGGATTGGGGTCCTATCTTCAGCCTCCTTAAACAAAACAATTATCAGCCAAGAGTTTCTTTTTTTTCCCTTTTCTTTTCTTTTTTTTTTTTTTTTGAGACAGAGTCTCACTCTGTTGCCCAGATTGGAATGCAGTGGTGTGATCTTGGCTCACTGCAACTGCCACCTCCTGGGTTCAAGCGATTCTCCTGCCTCAGCCTCCCGAGTAGCTGGGATTACAGGCACGCACCATCATGCTTAGCTAATTTTTGTATTTTTAGTAGAGATGGGGTTTTGCCATGTTGGCCAGGCTGGTCTCAAGCTCTTGACCTCAGGTGATCCTCCTGCCTCAGCCTCCCAAAGTGCTGGGATTACAGGGGTGAGCCACGTACCTGGCCCAGCCAAGAGTTTTATATTCCATGAAACTAAGCTTCATAAATGAAGGAAAGATAGTCTTTTCCAGACAAACAAATGCTGAGAGAACTCACCACTACCAAGCCAGCACTATAAGAACAGCTAAAAGCAGCCCTAAATCTTGAAACAAATCCTCCAAATATACCGAAATAGAACCTCCTTAAAGCATAAATCTCATAGGACCTATAAAACAATAACACAATGAAGAAAAGAGGTATTCAGTCAAAAACTAGCATGAGGAATAGAACAGTACCTCACATCTCAATACTAACGTTGAATATAAATGGACTAAATGCTTCACTTAAAAACTACGGAATGGCAGATAGATAAGAATTCACCAACCAAATATCTGCTGTCTTCAACCTAACACATAAGGACTCACCTAACACATAAGGACTCACATAAACTCAAGGTAAAGGGGTGGAAAAAGATATTCCATGCAAATGAACAGCAAAAGCAAGCAGGAGTAGCTATTCTTATATCAGACAAAACAAACTTTAAAGCAATAGCAGTTAAAAAAGACAAAGAGGGACATTATATAATGATAAAAGAACTAGTCCAACAGGAAGTTATCACAGTCTTAAATATATATGCATCTAACACTGGAGCTTCCAAATATATAAAACAATTACCACTAGACCTAAGAAATGAGATAGACAGCAATACAATAATAGTGGGGGACTTCAATACTCCACTGACAGCACTAGACAGGTCATCAAGACAGAAAGTCAACAAAGAAACAATGGACTTAAACTATACCCTAGAACAAATGGACTTTACAGATATTTACAGAACATTTTAGCCAACACTGCAGAATATACATTCTATTCATCAACACATGGAACATTCTCCAAGATAGACCCTGTGATAGGCCACAAAACAAGTCTCAATACATTTAAGAAAAATCAAAATTATATCAAGTACTTGAGTACTTGCTCAGACCACAGGGGAATAAAATTGGAAATCCGCTCCAAAAGGAACCCTCAAAACCATGCAAATGCATGAAAATTAAATAATTCTAAACAAATTAATATAGAAGGGTGGGAGGGGGTGTGGAGCCAAAGAGTACACATTGGGTACAGTGTACACTGCTCAGGTGTCAAGAGACTCAACACATAAGGACTCACGTAAACTTAAGGTAAAGTGGTCAAAAAAGATATTCAATGTAAATGAACAGCAAAAGCAAGCAGAAGTAGCTATTCTTATATTAGACAAAACAAACTTTAAAGCAACAGCAGTTGCTTTTGGGTGCACCAAAATTTCAGAAATCACTACTAAATTTCAGAAACCACCACTAAAGAATTTATTCATGTAACCAAACACCACCTGTTCCCCAAAAACTATGGAAATAAAAAAAAAAACAAACTCAAAGGGATATCAGAGAACTTCCCAGATCTAGGAAGGGTAACAATATTCATGTACAAGAAAGTTATATAAAACTTAGCAGATTTAATCCAAAAAAGAGTACCTTAAGTCATCTCATAATCAAACTCCCAAAGGTCAAGTATAAAGAAAGCAAAGCTAAAGCAGCAAGAGAAAAGAAAAGAAAACAAAACAAAACAAAAAAACATACAATGGCGCTCCAATACATCTGGCAGCAGACTTTTCACTGGAAACCTTACGGGCCAGTAGAGAGTGACATGACATATTAAAAGTGCTGAAGGAAAAAACTTTCACCCTAGAATAGTATATCCAGCAAAAATATCCTTCAAGGATGAAGGAGAAATGAAAACTTTCCCAGACAAACAAAAGCTGAGGGATTTCATCAACACCAGACCTGTCCTACAAGAAAAATTAAAGAGAGTTCTTCAATCTAAAAGAAAAAGATGTTAATGAGCAAGAAGAAATTATCTGAAGGTACAAAACTCAATGGTAATATTAAGTACACATAAAAACACAGAATATTATAACTGTAATTGTGGTGTGTAAACTATTCATATCTTAAGTAGGAAAACAAAAGATGAACTGATTAAAAATTACTACAACTTTTCAAGATAGAGTACAATAGGACATAAACAGACACAAAAAAGTTAAAAAGTGGGGAGACAAAGTTAAAGTGTATAGTTTTTATTAGTTTTATTTTTGCTTGTTTATGCAATCAGTGTTGTCATCAGTTTAAAATAATGGGTTGTTAGATAGTATTTGGAAGCCTCAGGGTAACTTCAAATCTAAAAACATACAATGGATATTCAAAAAAAAAAAAAAAAAAGCAAGAAACTAAAACATACTACCAGAGAAAATCACCTTCACTAAAAATAAGAGAGGAAGGAAGGAAAGAAGGAACAGAATTTCACAAAACAAGCAGAAAACAAATAACAAAATGGCATGAGTAAGTCTTTATTTATCACTAATAACACTGAGTGTAAATGGTCTAAACTCCTCAGTGAGAAGATGTAGATTAGCTGAATGGATTAAAAAACCAAACAACAGCAACAAAAAGGCTGGGCATGGTGGCTTACACCTGTAATCCAAGCACTTTGGGAGGCTGAGGTGGGTGGATCACTTGAGGTCAGGAGTTTGAGGCTAGCCTGGCCAACATGGTGAAACCCTGTCTCTACTACAAATACAAAAATTAGCCGGGTGTGGTGGTGCAAGCCTGTAATCCCAGCTACTTGGGAGGCTGAGGTAGGAAAATCACTTGAACCCAGGAGGTGGAGGTTGCAGTGAGCTGAGATCACACCACTGCACTCCAGCCTGGGCAACAGAGTGAGACTCTGTCTCAAAACAACAACAACAACAACAACAACAACAACAACAACAACAACAACAAAAAACAAACAAAAAACCCCCAAAAAACAAAAAACCAAGCACCAATGATCTGTTGCCTTCAGGAAACACAATTCACCTATAAAGACACACCTAGAGGGAAAATAAAGGATGGAAAAAGATATACCATGTCAATGGAAACCAAAAAAGAGCAGGAATAGCTATCCTATATCAGACAAAATAGATTTCAAGACACATACTATATCAAGAGACAAATAAGGCCAGCATACAATGACAAAGGGGTCAGTTCACCAGGGAGATAAAACAATTCCAAATATATATGCACTCAACATGGGAGTACCCTGATATGTAAAGGAAATATTAGCAGCAAAGAGAGAGTTAGACCCTAGTACAATAACAGCTGGAGACTTCAACCCACGACTTTTAGTATTGGACAGATTTCCTAGACAGAAACCCAAGAAAGAAACATTGGACTTCATCTGCAATATAGAACAAATGAACCTAATAGGTATTTACAGAATACCTATCATTCAGTGGCTGCAGAATACACATTTTTCTCCTCATCAAATGGCTCATTCTCAAGAAAAGACCATATGTTAGGTCACAAAACAAGTTGTAAACCATTAAAAGAAGTTGAAATAATATGAAGTATCTTCTCTGACCACAATGGAATAGAACTAGAAATCCATAACAAGAAGAATTTTGGAAACTATACAAACCCATGGAAATTAAACAATGTGCTCCTGAATGACTAGTGAGTCAATAAAGAGATTAAGAAGGAAATTGAAAATTTTTTTGAAACGAATGATAATGGAAACACAATATACCCAAATCTATAGGATATGGTAAAAGAAGTAATAAGGGAAAAATGTATAGCTATAAGGGCCTACATCAAAAAAGAAGTGAAACTTTAGATAAACTACCTAATGATACATCTTAAAGAACTAGAAAAGCTAGAGTAAACCCAACCCAAAATTAGTAGAAGAAATGAAATATTAAAGATCAAATTGGAAAGAAATTATATTGAAAAGAAGAAAACAACACAAAAGATTAAAAAATGAAAAGTCTTTTTTTAAGAAGATAAAATTGACCCATTTCCTATTATTATAATTAATATTTTTTGAGATGGAGTCTTGCTCTGTTGCCCAGGCTGAAGTGCAGTGGTGTGATCTTGGCTCACTGCAACCTCTGCCTCCTAGGTTCAAGCAATTGTCCTACCTCAGCCTCCTGAGTAGCTGGGATTACAGGTACATGCTACCACACCTGGCTAATTTTTGTATTTTTAGTGGAGAGGGGGTTTCACCATGTTGGCCAGGCTGGTCTCAAACTCCTGACCTCAAGTGATCTGCCAGTCTTGGCCTCCCAAAGTGCTGGGACTACAGGTGTGAGCCACCACACCTGCCAAAATTGACCCATTTTTACCCAGACTAACTAAAAAAAGAGAGAGAAGACCCAAATAAATGAAATCGGAGATAAAAAATGAGACATTACAGCTGATACCACAGAAATTCAAAGGATCATTAGAGGCTACTATGAGCAACTATATGCCAATAAGTTGGAAAACCTAGAGGCAATTGATACATTCCTAGACACATACAACCTAGCAAGATTGAACCAGGAAGAAACCCAAAACTTGAGTAGGCCAATAATAAGTAATGTGATCAAAGCTATAATAAAAAGTCTCTCAGCAACAAAAGCCCAGGACCCATCAACTTCCCTCCTGATTTTTTTTTCAAATTAATATTAATTCTTTCAAACTATTTCAAAAAATAGAGGAGGTGGGAATATGTCGAAACCTATTCTATGAGGCCAGTAATACCCTGATACCAAAATCAGACAAAGATTCATCAAAAAAAAAAAAAAAAACTACAAGCCAACAGCTTTGATGAATATTGATGGAAACATCAACAAAACATGAGCAAACTGAATTCAATAACACCTTAAAAAGATCATTCATCAAGACCAAGTGGGATTTATCCTAGGGATGTAAGGATGGTTCAACGTACACAAATCAATCAATGTGATACATCATATCAATAGAATAAAGGACAAAAACCACATAATCATTTCAATTGGTATTGAAAAACCATTTGAATAAATAAGTTCAATATCCCTTCATGATAAAAATTCTAAAAAACTGGATGTAGAAGAAATGTACTTCAACACAATAAAAGCCATATACTACAGACTCATACCTAGTATTATACTGAATGGGGAAAAACTGAAAGCCTTTTCTCTAAGATCAAGAACACAAGAAGGATGTACACTTTTACCACTGTTATTCAACATACTACTGGAACTCCTAGCTAGAGCAATTAGACAAGAGAAAAAAGTAAAGGGCAACCAAATTGGAAAGGAAAAGTCAAATTATCCTTGTTTGTGGATGATGTGGTCTTATATATGGAAAAACCTAAAGATTCCAACATAAAACACTATTAGAAGTGATAAATAAATTAAAGTTGCCAGATAAAAAATCAACATCCAAAAATCAGTAGCACTTCTATATGCCAACAGAGAAGAATCTGAAAAAGAAATCAAGAAAGTAATCCCATTTACAAGAGCTACAAATGAAATTAAATTCTTAGGAATTAATTTAACTGAAGAAGTGAAAAATCTCTTCAATGAAAACTATAAAACATTGATGAAAGAAACTGAAGAGGACACAAAAAATGGAAAGATATTCCATGTTCATAGATTGGAAGAATCAATATTGTTAAAATGTCTATACTACCCAAAGCAATCTTCAGATTCTATACAATCTCTATCAAACTACCAATGACATCCTTCACAGAAAGAGAAAAATCAATCCTAAAATTTATATGGAAACACAAAAGGCCCAGAATAACCAAAACTATCCTGAACAAAAAGAACACAACTCAAGGAATCACATTACTTGACTTCAAATTATACTACAGAGCTATAGTAACCAAAAGAGCATGGTATAGTCATAAAAACAGACACATAGACCAATGAAAAAAGAATAGAGAACCCAGAAACAAATCCATACACCTACAGTGAACTCATTTTTTACAAAGGTGCCAAGACTATACATTGGGGAAAAGACAGTCTCTTCAATAAATGGTGTTGCAAAAACTAGATATCCACACGTAGAAGACTGAAACTAGACCCTTATCTCTCACTATATACAAGAACTAAATTAAAATAGATTAAATAATTGAATCTAAGGACTCAAATTATGAAACTACTACAATAAAACATTGGGGAAACTCTCCAGGACATTGGAATGGGCAAACATTTCTTGAGTAATACCCCACAAGCACAGGCAGCCAAAACAAAAATGGACAAATGCAACCATATCAAAGTAAAAAGCTTCCTTCCAGCAAAGAACAATCAACAACAGAAGAAGAAAACCCAAAGAATGGGAGAAAATATTTGCAAACTAAGCATCTGACAAAGGATTTGTAAGCAGAACACACAAGGAGCTCAAACAATTATACAGGAAAAAATCTAATAAACTAATTAAAATATGGGCAAAAGTTCTAAATAGACATTTCTTGAAAGACGACATACAAATGGCAAACACGCATATGAAAATGTGCTCGACATTATTGATCATCAGAGAAACACCATTCAAAACTACAATGAGATATCATCTCACATCTGTTAAAATGGATTTTACCCAAAAGACAGGCAATAACAGGCTGGAGAGGATGTGGAGAAAAGGGGACCCTTGGACACTGTTTGTGGGAATGTAAATTAGTACAACTACTATGGAGAACAGTTTGGGCCTTCCTCAGAAAAACTGAAAATAGAACTATCGTATGATCCAGCAAACCCACTGTTAAGTATATACCTCCAAAATAGGAAATCAATATATTGAAGAGATATCTGCACTCCCATGTTTATTGCAGTTCCACTCACAATAGCCAAGATTTAGAAGCAATCCAAGTGTCCATCAACAAATGAATGAATAAAAAAAATGGTACGTATACATAATGGAGTACTATTCAGCCATAAAAAGAATGAGATCCTGTCATTTGCAACAACATAGATGGAACTGGAGGTCATTATGTTAAGTGAAATAAGCCAAGCACAGAAAGACAAACTTTACATGTTCTCTCTTATTTGTGAAAGCTAAAAATTAAAACAACTGAACTTACGGAGATAGAGAATAGAATGATGGTTACCAGACGCTAGGAAGGGTAGTGGGGTGGGTGTGCAGGGGTAGGGGGAATGGTTAATGAGTACAAAAAGATTTAGAAGGAATAAGATCTAATGTCTGATAGCACAATATATTATTGACTATAGTCAATAATAATTTAATTGTACATTTAAAAATAACTAAAAGAGTATAATATTTTAACACAAAAAATAAATATCTGAGATGATAGATACCTCATTTACCCTGGTGTGATTATTATACATTGTATGCCTGTATTAAAATATCCCATATATCCCATAAATAAATATATACATCTATGTACCCATAAAAATTAAAGACAAAACAAAACTAAAAACTACAGCTTTGCACAAAGGCTATTGCAACCTTAAACAAAAAATACTTCTGCCAGGACATCTGTCCACCAACTGCCTGTCTAACCTTGGACTGGTGCCACCTTTGTTACTGATCCTTGTAAGCAAAGAATTGATTCAAAACAATTGTGTAATCCTTCTTATTTTTCTTTTTAAAACTTTTTTCTTCCCTTACCTGTCTGAATACACACATAGTTTGTGATGGCACGCATATTCCCATTGCAATGCTCATTCTTGAATAAATATCACTGTCTTTTAGAGAGCTTTTCTTTATCTGTTATTTAGGTTGGTGTGACTCACATAACTGTTCCCAAACAGCTAAGTTACTTTTCTCCGACTTCTGGAATACCCAATAGCAGGTTGGGGCCTATAGAATGTTGGTACACAGAAGGGTTATGTATGTAATTATAATTTTATATTTCAAGTCTATAGTTTTTACAATGGAAATTATAGAACGTGAAAGTTAATTTGGAACATCGTGTCTGGTGGTGATATGCAGAAAGCACAGTCTGAGCTTTGTCCCAAGTGAAGTGCATATCAGGTTCTTACAGTGGAAAGGGAAGGCATAAGACTTTTATGAATATTAAAAGAAAACAAAAGTAAAGTAAATGCATTGTGAAATACTGTCAGCTGAAAGGAATGTTGCTGTATTGAGTGTCAGTTCCAGGAAGTTACTCAAAACTTAAAGGTGTAGCAATCCTGTTTATACAGTTTCTGCTCCTATAGGCACTTTACTTCATCTTGAAACCCATAGGGAGTAATTGGAAAGGACATGGGTTTCAGGCAAGTTTTTAATTCCTTTCACAAATCCCCTTTTTATTTATATTTAAAATAAAGATTGTTGTAAGATTGGATTTAGATAATACATGCATGGTGCTTAACACAGAGGAGGCATTAAGCACAGTAATTCCTGTTGTACAGAGCCCCACATGTAGGCAGTTCAGAGGTGCTTCCCAGGGCCCTGGCGCTAGTGCCTGTCCCTCCTGCTGAAGTTGCCTTTCCTGGTGTCCAGTGATTGAATTCTAAATTCAGCACATATACCAGAGGAATACGAGCCAAAGAAGTTGTTCCAGCTAGAGTTGCTGGGAATCCATGAATCAAAGACTTGCTCAGCTAGTTCTGTATGTGAAAGGAAATGGGTGTGACTCTGAGGAAGCCTTTTTAATTCTGATTCAGGAGATACATAATTAGATGCCACTTGATTTTGTTCCACAGACTTTTTGCTGAGGACTTGAGAGCTAAGGTTCTGTGATCCAGAACTAGTTCCAGACTTACTCTTCTGGAAATGAACAGGGCCCTCCTGTGCTTATTTTTCCAGGATACTGCATTGGAAATTGAGTCAGGGACCCATTGGTGAGAAGAGAACAGTGAACAGAATCACATTGATCTGGTCCTGGAGTTTGTCTGACAATTTCTACTTGACCGCAGGAGGTCTGAAGATTGGAAGGGGCCCTACTCAATTGTGCTATTTTTCTCTCTTTTTTTTTTTTTTGAGACGGAGTTGCCCAGGCTGGAGTGCAGCGGCATGGTCTCAGCTCACTGCAACCTCTGCCTCCCGGGTTCAAGCAGTTCTCTGCCTCAGCCTCCCAAGTAGCTGGGATTACAGGTGCCTGCCACCATTCCTGGCTAATTTTTGTATTTTCAGTAGAGACAGGGTTTCACCATCTTGGCCTGGCTGATCTTGAACTCCTGACCTCGTGATCCACCGGCCTCAGCCTCCCAAAGTGCTGGGATTACAGACGTGAGCCACCGTGCCCGGCCAATCCTGCTATTTCTCTACAGGACAAAGGGATATATAATCTGGTAAGTCCTAATGGGATCAGGGGATGAAAAAGAAAAGATTACTATCATCAGCGACAAAAATGTTCTGGATGGGTTTGTGAAATGAGTCGAAGAGTTTTTTTTCCTACAGAATTTGACTGAAAAGGAAGTTAAGTTCGTCTTAATAATGGAGAATTCCTGATAGCATGTAAGGCTAAGGAATATATCTTCGATACATTATTGCACAGGTCCAGTCTTAAAGAAGCATCTTATATTCTCATTATTCTCTGCTTGTCCAGTGACCTCTTACATGGCCCATATCAGAGAATTGAAATGGTCACATCAGGAATTTTACATGAACTGTTGAAAATTCTGTCTCTCTTCATTATTGAACATATTTAGAAAGTTCAAAAACTGAATTCCATGTAGTTAGGAAGTCCTATTCCTATTTGTTATAATTGTAACAATACAATTATACTCTTAATTGTAACAATACAATTATACTGTTTTAGTTATTTCTAACTGTACAATTATTGACTATAGTCACCCTGTTGTGCTATCGAATACTAGATCTTATTCAGAAATACTAGATCTTATTCAGTCTAACTATTTTTTTTGTGCTCATTTACCATCCCCACCTCCCTCCCACCCCCTAATATCTTTCCCAGCCTCTGGTAACCATCATTTTACTCTATCTCCATAACTTCAATTGTCTTAATTTTTAGCTTTCATAAATAAGTGAGAACATTGTAAAGTTTGTCTTTCTGTGCCTGGCTTATTTCACTTAATGACCTCTAGTCCCCTCTATGTTGTTGCGAATGACAGGATCTCATTTTTTTTTGACACGGAGTTTTGCTCTTGTTGCCCAGGCTGGAGTGCAACAGTGCAATCTCGACTCACTGCAACCTCCGCCTCCTGGGTTCAAGTGATTCTCCTGCCTCAGCCTCCCAAGTAGCTGGGATTACAGTCATGCGCTACCATGCCTGGCTAATTTTGTATTTTTAGTAGAGCGGGGTTTCTCCATGTTGGTCAGGCTGGTCTTGAACTCCTGACCTCAGTTGATCCACCCGCCTCAGCCTCCCAAAGTGCTGGGATTACAGGCATGAGCCACCGCACCCAGCCAATCTCATTCTTTTTTATGGCTGAGTAGTACTCTGTTATGTATATGTACCACATTTTGTTTACCTGTTCATTTGTTGATGGACACTTGCATTGCTTCCCAATCTTGGCTATTGTGAACAGTGCTGCAACAAACATGGGAGTGAAGATATCTCTTCAATATACTGGTTTTCTTTCTTTTGGGTGTACACCCAGCAGAGAGGTTGCTGGGTTGTATGGCAGCTCTATTTTTAGCTTTTTGAGGAAGGTCCAAACTGTTCTCCATAGTGGCTGTACTAATTTACATTCCCACAAACAGGGTACAAGTTTCCCTTTTCTCTACCTTCTCTCCAGCATTTTTTATTACTTGTCTTTTAGATATAAGCCATTTTAACAGGGGTGAGATGATATCTCATTGTAGTTTTGATTTACATTTTTCTGATAACTAATAATGTTGAGGACCTTTTCATATGCCTTTTTTTCATTTGTATGTATTCCTCTGAGAAATGTTTATTCAACTCTTTTGCCCATATTTTAATCTGATTATTAGATTTTTTTCCTATAGAGTTGTGTGGGCTCCTTATATTTTCTGGTTATTATTCCCTTATCAGATGGGAAGTTTGCAAATATTTTCTCCCATTCTGTGGGTTCTCTTTTTCTGTTGTTGATCTTTTCCTTTGCTGGAGGGAAGCTTTGTAACTTGATGAGATCCAATTTGTCTATTTTTGCTTTGGTTGCCTGTGCTGGTGGTGTATTACTTAAGAAATTTTTGCCTAGACCAATGTCCTGGAGAGTTTCCCCAGTGTTTTCCTGTAGTAGTTTCACAGTTTGAGGCTTTACATTGAAGTCTATAATCTATTTTGATTTTATTTTTGTACATGATGAGAGAGAGTGGTCTAGTTTCAGTCTCCTGCATATGAATATCCAGGTTTCCCAGCACCATTTATTGAAGAGACTGTCCTTTCTCTAATGTATGTTCTTGGCACCTTGGTAAAAAATGAGCTCACTGTAGGTATATGGATTTGTTTCTGGGTTCTCGATTTTTTTCCTTTGGTCTGTGTGTCTGTTTTCATGCCAGTACCATGCTGTTTTGGTTACTGTAGCTCTGTAGTATAATTTGATGTCAGATAATATGATTCCTTGAGTTTTGCTCTTTTTGCTCAGGATAGATTTTGTTATTCTGGGTCTTTTGTGTTTCCATATAAATTTTAGGATTGTTTTTTCTCTTTCTGTGAAGAATGTCATTGATATTTTGATATAATTTGCATAGAATCTGAAGATTGCTTTGGATAGTATGGACATTTTAACAATATTGATTCTTCCAATCTATGAACATGGAATATCTTTCCATTTTTTGTGTCCTCTTCAGTTTCTTTCATCAATGTTTTATAGTTTTCATTGAAGAGATTTTTTACTTCTTCAGTTAAATTAATTCCTAAGAATTTAATTTTATTTGTAGCTCTTGTAAATGGAATTACTTTCTTGATTTCTTTTTCAGATTCTTCTCTGTTGGCATATAGAAGTGCTACTGATTTTTGGATGTTGATTTTGTATCCTGCAACTTTAATAAATTTATAACTTCTAATAGTTTTTTGTTGTTGGAATCTTCAGTTTGTTCCATATATAAGACCACATCATCCACAAACAAGGACAATTTGACTTCTTCCTTTCCAATTTGGATGCCCTTTATGTTTTTCTCTTTTCCCCCATTGAGTGAGTCTGTAATATATGGCTTTTTATTATGTTGAGTTATCTTCCTTCTATACCCAGTTTTTTGAGGGGTTTTATCATCAAGGGATATTGAGTTTTATCAAGTGCTTTTTCAGCATTAATGGAAATGATCACGTGGTTTTTGTCTTTCATTTTCTTGCTATAATGTATCACATTGATTGATTTGTGCGTGTTGTACCATCCTTGCATCCCTGGGATAAATCCCACTTGGTCATGATAAATGATATTTTTAATGTATTGTTGAATTTGGTTTCCTAGTATTTTGTCGAGGATGTTTCCATCAATATTCATCAGAAATATTGGCTTGTAGTTTTTTTTTTTTAAGTTTCTTTGTCTTGTTTTTTATTAGGGTAATATTGGCCTCATAGAATGAGTTTGGAAGTATCCCCTCTTTGTCTATTTTTAAACATAGTTTGAATAGGATTGGTATTAGTTCTTCTTTAAATGTTTGGTAGAATTCAGCATTGAATTCACTGGGTCCCAGGCTTTTATTTACTGGGAGACTTTTTATTACAGCCTTGATCTCATTACTTGTTATTGATCTGTACAGGTTTTGGATTTCTTCAAGGTTCAATCTTGGTAGGTTGTATGTTTCTGGGAATTTATCCATTTCCTCTAGATTTTCCAATTTATTGGTGTATAGTTGCTCATAGTAGCTGCCAATAATCCTTTGAATTCCTGCAATATCAGTTGTAATGTTTTCTTTTTCATCTGTGATTTTATTTATTTGGGCCTTCTCTCTTTTTTCTTAGTCTGGCTAAAGATTTGTCTATTTTGTTTATCTTTTCAACAAAGCAACTTTCATTTCATTCATCTTTTGTATTGTTTTCTTAATTTTAACTTCATTTATTTCTGCTCTGATCATTATTGTTTATTATTTTCTACTAATTTTGGGTTTGGGCTGCTCTTGGTTTTCTAGTTCTTTAAAATGCATCATTAGGTTATTTATTTGAAGTTTTTCTTCTGTTTTGATGTAGACACTTATAGCTATAAATTTCCCTCTTTGTACTGCTTTTGCTGTATCCCATGGGTTTTGGTATGTTTGCATTATCATTTGTGTCAAGAAATGTTTCAATTTCCTCATCAATTTCTTCATTGACCCATTGGTCATTCAGGAGCATATTGTTTAATTTCCATGTGTTTGTATAATTTCTAAAATTGCTCTCGTTATTGATTTATAGTTTTATTCCATTTTGTTCAGAGAAGATACGTTATATTATTTCAACTTTTTGAGTGTTTTAAGACTGGTTCTGTGACCTAAAATATGGTCTACGCTTGAGAATGATCCATGTGATGAGGAGAAAAATGTGTATTCTGCATCCATTGGATAAAATGTTCTGTAAATACCTATTAGGTTCATTTGTTCTATAGTACAGACTGAGTCCAAAGTTTCCTTGTTGATTTTCTGTCTGGGAGATCTGTCCAATGCTGAAAGTGAGATGTTGAAGTCTCTAGCTATTTTTTTTTTTTTTTTGAGATGGAGTCTCGCTCTGTCACCCAGGCTGGAGTGCAGTGGCGCGATCTCCGCTCGGCCCACTGCAAGCTCCACCTCCTGGGTTCACGCCATTCTCCTGCCTCAGCCTCCTGAGTAACTGGGACTACAGGTGCCCACCACCACGCCTGGCTAATTTTTTTGTGTTTTTAATAGAGACAGGGTTTCACCGTGTTAGCCAGGACGGTCTCGATCTCCTGACCTCGTGATCTGCCCGTCTCGGCCTCCAAAAATGCTGGGATTACAGGCGTGAGCCATCGCGTCTCGCCTGAAGTCTCTAGCTATTATTGCATTGGGGTCTATCTCTTTAGCTCTAATCTGAATCTAAATCTATTTTGTCTGATACAAGTATAGCTATTCCTGCTCTTTTTTGGTTTTCATTGACACGAATATATTTTCCATTCCTGTGTTTTTATTCCATGTTTATCTTTATAGGAGAAGTGTGTTTCTTGTAGGTAACAGATCATTGGGTCTTGTTTTTTTAATTAATTCAACCACTCTATGTCTTTAGATTGGACAGTTTAGTTCATTTACATTTAATGTTATTACTAATAAGTGAGTACTTTTGGTATTTTATTTTTTGTTTTCTGGTTGTTTTGTGATCTTCTGTTTCTTCTTTTTCTTCTTCCTTTTAGTGAAGGTAATCTTCACTGATGGTATATTTCAATTTCTTGCTTTTCATTTTTTGCTTATTCATTGTATGTTTTTAGATTTGAAATTACTATGAGGCTTGCAAATGCTATCTTAAAACTCATTATTTTAAATAGATGACAACAGTGATTGCATAAACAAACAAACACAAACAGAAAACTAATAAAAACTCTACATTCTAACTTTGTCTTCTGCTTTTTATCTGTTTGTTGTTTGTCTTTATGTCCTGTGGTACTATGTCTTGAAAGTTGTAGTTGCTTTTGATTGGTTTATCGTTTGGCCTTTCTACTTAAGGTAAGAGTAGTTTACACACCACAATTACAGTGTTATAATATTCTGTGTTTTTCTGTGTGCTTCCTACTACCATTGAGTTTTGTACCTTCAGATGATTTCTTCTTGCTCATTAACATCATTTTCTTTCAGATAGAACAACTCCCTTTAGTATTTCTCGTAAGACAGGTTTGGTGTTGATGAAATCTCTCAGTTTTTGTTTGGGAAGGTCTTTATTTCTCCTTCATCCTTGAAGCATATTTTTTTTGCCAGATATATTATTCTAGGGTAAAAGTTTTTTTCCCTTCAGCACATTAAATATGTCATGCCACTGTCTCTTGGCCTGTAAGGTTTCCAGTGAAAAGTCTGCTACTAGACGTATTGGAATTTTATTGTTTGTTATTTTTTCTTTTCTTTTGCCACTTTAGGATTCTTACTTTATACTTGATATTTGGGAGTTTGATTATCAAATGCCTGAGGTAGTCTTCTTTGGCTTAAATCTGCTGGGTGTTCTATTATCTTCTTGTACCTTGTACTTGAATATTGGTATCTTACTCTAGCTTTGGGAAGTTCTCCCTTTGCATAAACTTTCTACACCTATCTGTTTCTCAATCTTCTCTTTAAGGCCAGTAACTCCTAGATTTGCCCTTTTGAGGCTATTTTCTATTGCCCTTTTGAGGCTATTTTCTACATCTTGTAGCATGCTTCATTCTTTTTTCTTTTGTCTCCTTTGACTGTATATTTTCAAATAGCCTGCTTTCAAGATCACTGATTCTTCCTTCTGTTTGATCAATTCTGTTATTAAGAGATGCTGATGCATTCTTCTGTAGGTCAATGTATTTTTCAACTCCAGAATTTCTGCTTCTTTTTAATTATTTCAATTTCCTTAAAAAATTTATCTGATAGAATTCTGAGTTCCTTTTATGTGTTATCTTGAATTCCTTTGAGTGTCCTCAAAACAGCTATTTTGAATTCTTTGTTTGAATGATTACATATTTCTGTCTCTCTGGGATTGGTCCCTGGTGCCTTACTTAGTCCATTTGGTAAGGTGATGTTTTCCTGAATCGTCTGTTTTTAAATTCAAAATTACATTTTATTACAGAATTTAAAAATAATTTTCCTTATAGGCTTCCTGGACTGGTGACTTACATTTTCTTTCTTTTTTTTAATTATATATATATTTTCTTTTTTATACTTTTATTTTAAGTTCAGGGGTACATGTGTAGGTTTGTTATGTAGGTAAACTTGTGCCATGGGAGTTTGTTGCATAAATTATTTTATCACCCAGTTATTAAGCCTAGTAACCATTCGTTATTTTTCCTGATCATCTCCCTCCTCCCACCCTCCATGCTCTACCTTCCAGTAGGCCCCAGTGTGTGTTGGTCCCCTCCATGAGTCTATGTGTTCTCATCATTTAGCTCCCACTTATAAGTGAAAACATGTGGTATTTGGTTTTCTATTTCTGTGTTAGTTTACTAAGTGTAATGGCTGCCAGCTCCATTGGGAGCTGTTCTTGATCTTGTTCTTTTTTTGGCTACATAGTATTCCATGAGGTATATGTACCGCGTTTTCTTTATCTAGTCCATAGTTGATGGGCATTTAGGTTTATTCCATGTCTTTGCTATTGTGAATAGTGCTGCAATGAACATATGCATGCATGTGTCTTTATTATAAAATGATATCTGTTCCTTTGGGTATATACCCAGTAATGAGCTTGCTGGGTCAGATGGTATTTCTGTCTTTAGGACTTTGAGGAATCACCAAACTGTTTTTCACAGTGGTTGAACTAATTTACATTCCCATCAACAGTGTATAAGCATTCCTTTTTCTCCACAACCTTGCCAGCATCTGTTATTTTTTGACTTTTTAATAATAGCTATTCAGACTTGTGTGAGATGATATCTCATTGTGGTTTTGATTTGTGTTTCTCTAATGATCAGTGGTGTTGAGCTTTTTTTTTTATACGATTGTTGGCCACATGTATGTCTTCTTTTGAAAGCTGCCTCTTCATGTCGTTTGCCCACTTCTTAATGTTTTTTTTTTTTTCTTGTAAATTGGCTCAAGTTCCTTATAGATGCTGGATATTAGACCTTTGTCAGATTCGTAGTTTGCAAAAATTTTCTCCCATTCTGTAGGTTACCTGTTCACTCTGTTCATAGCTTCTTTTGCTGTGCAGAAGCTCTTAAGTTTAATTAGATCTCATTTATCAATTTTTGCTTTTATTGCAATTGCTTTTGGCATCATCATGAAATCTTTGCCAGTTCCTATGTCCAGAATGGTATTGCCTAGATTGTCTTCTAGTGTTTTATTTTTATAGTTTCGGGTTTTACATTTCAGTCTTTTATTCGTCTTGAGTTGATTTTTGAATATGGTGTAAGGAAATGGTCCATTTTCACTCTTCTGCTTATGGCTAGCCAGGTATCCCAGCACCATTTATTGAATGAAGAAGACATATATGCATCCAACACTGCAATCTTGGGCCTTCACCAACTTGCCCTCACTTTCTTCTGACCTCATCTTCTTTCCTTTCCACCTCACATATTCCAGGCATCCATTGCTTCCAAATCTTTGCACTTGCTGATTTCTGTACCTGGAATTCTTTTCTCCACATAATGTTCATTGTTTATGCCCTGCCTCCTCTACATTATTGTTCAAATGTCACTTCTCAGTGTGGCTTTCACTGTAAAACTGCAAACACCAACATGTTCTCTACCACTACTCATATCATCTTAACATAAGCCCCGCCTTCCCTCTGGCCCTTTAGTTGATGACAGTATTGAGCCCTTCCTTCTTCCTGTTATTTACAGTATCCCTGGGTTAGAGGTGAGGAGATACCCAGGCTTTCCTACTCCAACAATAAGGGGCAATGAATTTTACAGCAGTGCCTGTCAGAAGCCCAAATTGTCTTAAGAATTCCAAAGTTGGAAGCCAGGTGTGATGGTGTGTGCCTATAATCCCAGATGCTAGGTAGGCTGAGGCGGAGAATCACTTGAGCCCAAGAGTTCAAGACCAGTCTGGGCAACATGGCAAGACCCTGTCTCAAAAACAACAAAAAAATGAACTCAAAGTTGAGAAAGTTATAATCTAGTCACTATTTTAAGTAAAGACCTGCTAATCTCATATGTAGATCTTTTCCTTTAGGGGAAATATCAATAATTGGTGAGAGTTTAACCATTTTCTTCCTCTCCCAACTGATGCTCTCCTTTCATCTCCTCCTAGCAACATGCCCTCCATGTTGGAACGCATTAGCAAAAATTTGGTCAAAGAGATTGGAAGCAAAGACCTGACACCTGTCAAATACCTATTGAGTGCCACCAAATTACGTCAGTTTGTTATATTACGAAAGAAGAAGGATTCTCGTTCATCATTTTGGGAACAATCTGACTATGTTCCAGTTGAATTCTCCCTCAATGACATCCTGGAGCCAAGTTCTTCAGTCCTAGGTATTGTCAGCCAGAGGCCAAGGAGGTGAGGGGTGAAAAACATGTGTGGTCAGAAAAAGATGGCCCACCATCCAAAGATAACTGAGCACACAGAAAGGAGCTCTCAGGATTAGCCTTGCCTATAGGCAAGGGGCAAGAAACGAAGACAAATTGAGAATCCTACCAATTATCTGGATGTAGGCATTCATTAGGTCATTTAATATTTGTATCAGGCTCATGAGGTGAGGATATTATCCCCATTTTACATAAGAGTAAATAGAAGGTTATAAAATTATCTGTTCAAAGTTATGTACCTGGGGGCTGGGCACTGTGGCTCATGCCTATAATCCCAGTGCTTTGGGAGACCGAGGCGGGCAGATCACTTGAGGCCAGGAGTTCGAGACCAGTCTGGCCAACATGCTGAAACCCTGTCTCTATTAAAAATACAAAAAAAAAAAAATTATCCAGGCATGGGTGGTGCACTCTTGTAGTCCCAGCTACTCGGGAGGCTGAGGCTCAATAATTGCTTGAGCCCAGAAGGCGGAGGTTGCAGTGAGCTGGGATTGCACCAATGCACTCCAGCCTGGATGACAGAGTGAGACTGTCTCAAAACAACAACAACAACAAAAACAACAACAACAACAACAACAGCAAAAACCAAACAAAAAAACAGTTATGTCCCTGGGAACTAGTAGAACTGGGATCCAAACCCAGGTCTGTCTGGCTCCACATCCCAAACATTTTCTGCCCCTGTGTGCTGCCCTCTGCTGCTGGGTGCTGTGCCTGCTGCAGAGGAGACAGTGTGCCTGAAAGGATGATCCCAGGGGTCTTCTGGACACTGTACATTTGACACCACTATTTCTCAGGGTGCAGATTTTATCTCTGTCACACAATGCCCATTTAAATATTTGAATATTTTCCATCTGTAGTAATTTACATTCAAACATTAATGGATTAGTTTTCAACAGAGTTTAAGTGAGTGGGAGGATTGGGGCAAAATAGGTCTTTGTTATTTCATTTTGCACACCAGCTGTTCTTGGCTAAACCTTTGAATTCTTGAATGAATTCTTGGCTAAACCTATGGTCGTCTTTTCTTTCCCCAGAAACTGTTGTGACAGGACCGTTCCACTTCAGTGACATTATGATCCAGAAGCATAAGGCTGACATGGGTGTGAATGTTGGTATAGAAGTGAGTGTGTCAGGGGAGGCCTCTGTGGACCATGGATGCTCCCTCGAGTTTCAAATTGTTACCATCCCATCACCAAACCTGGAAGACTTTCAAAAAAGGTGAGGCCATGGGAGAGGAAGGGGATGGATCATCAGTATCCCAGGGGGTGTTTTCCTTGAACACAAAAATACATCTAGCAAGTCTTGTTGTAGGGATGAAAATCAAGATGATGACAGCCCAGATTTTGCTACTCTTCTTGAGTATTCATACCTCCCTTTACTCAAGTAATAGCTGTTAGTTACCTAACAAATACTTATTAGAGCAGTAACTACCCACTACTATGTTGTTATATGTTGGGGATACAATGAAAACAAGACAGATGTAAACACCTGTCATAAAGCAGCTTACATTTAGTGGAGACAAGGGATGGGCAGGGAGTAAGAAAATAAGCAATAAAAAATAAATTAACAAAGTGTTAATTTAAGTGAGACAAAGACTTTAAAACTGTTTATTTAAATAACATGTACATTGCTGTCTTGGGATTTATTTTTATTTTTTTCAGCTGTATTGAGATATAATTGACAAATAAAATTGTGTGAATTTAAGGTGTACAATGTGATGATTTGATGTATGTATATATTGTGAAAAGACCACAATAAAGTCAGTTAACATATCTATTACTTTACCTAGTTATCATTTTTTTTGTGGTGAGAACGTTTAATATCTACTCTCTTGGCAAATTTCAGATACACAATGTAGTATTGTTAATTATAGTCTGTGTTGCCTTTGACCAATGTGCCCCATTTCCCTGACTTCCTAACCCCTGCTAACCACCATTTTATTTTGTTTCTATAAGTTTGACTTTTTTAGGTTCCACATATATGTGAGATTATACAGTATTTGTATTTCTCTGTTTGACTTTTATTTAGCATAATGCCATCAAGGTTTATCCATGTTGTTGCAAATACAGGGTTTCTTCCTTTTTTATGGCTGAATAATATTCCGTCGTATACACATACCACAATTTCTTTTTCCATTCATCTGTTGACAGGCACTTAGGTTGTTTTGGTGTCTTGGTTTCTGTGAATAATGCTGCAATGAACATGGAAGTGCAGACATGTCTTTGAGCTACTGATTAATTTTCATTGGCTGTATACCTAGAAATGAGATTGCTGGATCATATGGTAGTTCTAGTTTTAGTTTTTTGAAGAACCAACATACTGTTTTCCATATGGCTATATCAATTACATTCCCACTAATAGCATACAAGGATTTCCTTTAATTCACATCTTTGCCAACACTGATCTTTTTGTTAAAAGCCATCCAAACAGATGCGAAATTATGTCTCATTGTGGTTTTGATTTGTACGTCCCTGATAAGTAATTTTGAGCACAATTTCATGTGCCTGTTAGCTTATTTCTATGTCTTTTTTTGGAGAAAATATCTATTTAGGTCCTTTGCCCATTTTCTAAATCAAGATTTTTGTTTTTGTTTTTGATTTTGCAATTTAGCCGTATGAGTTCCTTATATATTTTAGATATTAACCCTTTATCAGGCATATGGTTTTCAAATATTTTTGACCATTCTGTAGGTTGCATTTTCACTCTGTTGATTGTTTCCTTTGCTGTTCAGAAACTTTTTAGTTTGCTAGAGTAACACTTATTTTTTCTTTTCTTTTCTTTTTTTTTTTTTGCTGCTGTTGCTTTTGGTGTCATATCAAACAAATTGTTGCCATAACCAATCTTGAGGAACTTTCCCCCTGTATTTTCTTCTAAAAATGTTTTAAGGTTCCAGGTCTTATATTCAGGTTTCTAATCTACTTTGAGTTGATCTTTGTGTATAAAGTAAGGACCTAGTTTCAGTCTTTTGCATGTGAGTATCCAGTATTCTCAACACCATTTTTTGAAGACACTATCCTTTATCTCACTGTCTTTTCTTGTCACGCTTGTCAGATATTAGTTGATCATACACATATGAGTTTATTTCTTGGCCCTCTACTTGATTCCACTAGTTTATATGTCTGTTTTTATGCAAGTGCCATAAGTTTTAACTTCTATAGCTTTGTAATATACTTTGAAATCAGGAAGTATAGGGTGTCTAGCTTTGTTCTTTCTTGAGATTGCTTTAGCTATTCTGGGTCTTTCCATAAGAGTTTTAAGATTATTTTTTCTATTTCTGTGAAGATTGTCATTGGCATTTTGATAAGAATTGCATTGAATCTGTAAATTGCTTTGAGTAGTATGACATTTTAATAATATTAATTCTTCTTATCCATGAGCACAAATATTTTGCTGTTTATTTTTGTCTTCTTTAATTTCTTTCATGAATTTTGTAGTTTTTCAGTATATAGATCTTTCGCCTCCTTGGTGAAATGTATTCACAAGTATTTTATTATTTTTGATGCTATTATAAACGGACTTTTTTTTTTTTTTTTTGAGACAGAGTCTCACTCTGTCTCCCAGGCTGGAGTACAATGGCGTGATCTCGGCTCACTGCAACCTCTGCCTCCCAGGTTCAAGCAATTCTCCTGCCTCAGCCTCCCAAGTAGCTGGGATTACAGGCACCCACCACAATGCCCAGCTAATGTTTTCTATTTTTAGTAGAGATGGGGTTTTGCCATATTGGCCAGGCTGGTCTCGAACTCCTGACCTCAGGTGATCCACCCGCCTCAGCCTCCCAAAGAGCTGGAATTACAGGTGAGAGCCACCATGCCCGGCCTATACATTGAGTTTTAAAGATAGTTCATTGTTAATTTATAGAAATACAACTGATTTTTAATGTTGATTTTGTATCCAGCAACTTGACTGCATTTATTTATTAATTCTAACATTTTTTAAATGAAGTTTTTAGGATTTTCGATGTATAAGATAGTGTCATCTGTAAACAGGCAATTTTACTTCTTTCTTTCCTATTAGGCTCCTTTTATTAATTTATTTTTCCCTAATTTCACTGGCAAGCATTTCCAGTGCCATACTGAATAGAGTGGTGAGGGTGGACATTCTTGTTTTGTTCCTTATTTTAAAGGAAAAGCTTTCAGCTTTTCAACATTGAGCATAATGTTAGCTGTGGACTTTATTATGACCATGTATAGCCTTCATTATGTTAAGGTACATTTCTTCTATATCTAATTTGCTGAGAGTTTTATCATGAAAGGATGATGAATTTCATCAAATGCTTTTTCTGCATCTACTGAGATGAACATATGGTTTTTGTCCTCGATTATGTTAATATGGTGTATTATATTTATTGATTTGCAAATGTTGAACTATCCTTTCATTCCAGGTATAAATTCCACTTGTTTGTGGTGTATGTTCCTTTTAATGTGCTGTTAAATTTGGTTTGCTAAAATTTTGTTAAGGACTTGTGCATCTATGTTTATCAGATATATTGGCCTGTAATTTTCTTTTCTTGTAATGTCCTTATCTGGCTTTGGTATTAGAGTAATGCTGGCCTTGCACAATGAGTTTGAATTATTCTTTCCTCTTCAATTTTTTGGTTTGAGCAGGATTGATATTAACCTTCTTTAAATGTTTAGCAGAATTCACCAGTGAAAGCATTTGGTCATGGGCATGTTTTTTCGGAGCTTTTTTGATTACTGATTTAATCACCTTACTTGTGAATGATATGTTTATATTTTCTATTTCTTCATGACTCAATCTCAATAGATCATATGTTTCTGGGAATTTATCCATTTCTCTTATCTACCCCAGTTTGTCGGTATTTAATTACAGATAATAGGCTCTCATGATCTTTTTTATTTCTGTGGCATCATTTGTAATGTCTCCTTTTAACTATAATTTTATTTGTTGGAGTTCTTCTTTCTTGGTTTGTCTAGCTAAGGGTTTGTCAATTTTTAATTTTTTTCAAAAAACCCCTCAGTTTTATTACCTTTTCTTTTCTATTGTTTTTCTATTTTCCATTTAATTTATTCTGCTCTAATCTTTTTTTTTTTTTTTTTTTGAGACGGAGTCTCGCTCTGTCGCCCAGGCTGGAGTGCAGTGGCGCGATCTCCGCTCACTGCATGCTCCGCCTCCCGGGTTCATGCCATTCTCCTGCCTAAGCCTCCCGAGCAGCTGGGACTACAGGCGCCTGCCACCATGCCCGAATTTTTTGTATTTTTAGTAGAGACGGAGTTTCACCGTGTTAGCCAGGATGGTCTCGATCTCCTGACCTCGTGATCTGCCCGCCTTGGCCTCCTAAAGTGCTGGGATTACAGGTGTGAGCCACTGCGCCTGGCCTGTTCTTCTTTTCTAGTTCTTTAAGGTATAAAGTTAGGTTGTTGATTTGAATTCTTTCTATTTTCTTAATGTAGGTGTTTATAAACTTTCCTCTTAGAACTGCTTTTGTTGTATCCCATAAGTTTTGGTATGTTGTGTTTTCACTTTTGTTTGTCTCAGATATTTTTTGAATTCCCTTTTGATTTCTTCTTTGACCCACTGGTTGTTCAGTTTAGTTTCCACATATTTGTGAATTTTCTGAAATTCCTTGTTATGATTTCTAGTTTTGTGCCATTGTTATTGGAAAAGATACTTGAAATAATTTCTGTCTTCTTAAATTAGAACTGCTTTTGTTGTATCCCATAAGTTTTGATATGTTGTGTTTTCATTTTTGTTTGTCTCAGATATTTTTTGAATTCCCTTTTGATTTCTTCTTTGACCCACTGGTTGTTCAATTTAATTTCCACATATTTGTGAATTTTCTGAAATTCCTTGTTATTGTTTCTAGTTTTGTGCCATTGTTATTGGAAAAGATACTTGAAATAATTTCTGTCTTCTTAAATTTGTTAAGACTTGTTTTGTGGCCTAACATATGATCTATTTTGGAGAATGTTCCATGTGCTCTGGAGAAGAATTTGTATTCCGCTGCTGTTAGATGGAATGTTCTGTATATGTCTGTTAGGTTCATTTGGTTTATAATGTTTTTCAAGTCTTATATTTCTGCATTGATTTTTTTTTTCTGGGGGACGTGGCCATTAGTAAGAGTGGGTATTAAAGTCTCTTACTAATATTGTATTGCTGTTTATTTCTCCTTTCAGTTACGTTAATATTTGATTTATATATTTATGTGCTCTGATGTTTGGTGCATATTTATAGTAGTATCATTATATAATGGCATTCTTCTATCTTGTTACAGTTTTGACTTAAGTCCATTTTATCTGACATATATGTATATATATAAATATATACATATACATATATATATAAAAAAATGTGTCTGCGTGTGTGTCTGTGTAAGTATGGCCACCCTTGTTCTTTTTTGGTCATCTTGTGCATTAGAATTTCTTTTTCCATCTCTTTCCTTTCAGCCTGTGTGTCCTTAAAGCTAACATGAATCTCTTTTAGGCAGCAGGTCATTGGATCTTGCTTTCTTATATATATTATCCACTCTGTCTTTAGTTTGGAAAATTTAATCTGTTTACATTTAATATAATTATTGATAGGTAAGTACTTGCTATTGTCATTTTAATTGTTTTATGACTTTTATAGTTTTTTTCTTTCCTTCTTTCTCACCTGCCATCTTCCTTTGTGATTTGATTACTTTTTGTGGTAGTATGATTGATTCCTTTCTCTTAATCTTTTGCATATCTAATACAGGTTTTTCCTTTGTAGTTACAATGAGGCTTACATAAAATATCTTATAGTTATAATATCCTATTTTATGCTGATAACAACTTAATTTTGGGGGGATTAATTTTTTTGAGGGTTTCAACCTATTTGGGACATTTTTGAGACAGTCTTACTCTGTTGCCTAGGCTGGAGTGCAGTGGTACAGTCTCAGCTAACTGCAACCTCTGCCTCCTAGGTTTAAGCAATTCTCATGCCTCAGCCTCCCAAGTACATGGGACTATAGGTGTGTGCCACCACAACTGGTAAATTTTTTGTATTTTTAGTAGAGACAGGGTTTTGCCATATTAGTCAGGCTGGTCTTGAACTCCTGGCCTCAAGTAGTCTGCCTGCCTTGGACTCCCAAAGTGCTGAGATTATAGGCATGAGTCTATAATATGAGGCATGAGCCTGGCCTTCAGCTTAATTTTGATTGCATAAAAAGCATTATAGCTTTACTTCTTCCCCTCATTGATATTTTAGGTTATTGATATTAAGATTCACATATTTTTATATTGTATATCTAATAAGAAATTATTATAGAGTTATTTTTAATATACGTAAAACATTTTTATACCAGAGTTGAAAATCATTTATATACCACATTTAGAATATTACAGAATTCTGACTCTGATTATATATTTTCCTTTACTGATGAATTTTACACATTCATGTGTTTTACGTTGTTAATTAACATATTTTCATTTCAACTTGAAGAACTCCCTTTTGCATTTCTTGTAAGGCAGATCTAGTGGTGAACTTCCTCAGCTTTTGTTTGGGAAAGTCTTTATCTCTCTTTTATCTCTGAAGGACAACTGAGTTTTTTATTCTTGTTTGGCAGTTTCTGTGGTTTGAATGTCCCCTCCAAAACTCCTAATGAAATTTAGTTGCCATTGTAACAGTATTAAGAGGTGGGGCTTTTAAGAGGTGATTGGGCCATAAGTGCTCTGCCCTCATGAATGGATTAATATCATTATCGTGGGAGTTGGGTAGTTTTTGTGGGAGTGGGCTCTTGACAAAAGGGTGAAGTTCAGCCCTTGTATTCTCTTTGTCTCATGTGTTTGCTTCTGCTTTTCACCATCTTCCATGAGATGACATTCACCAAATACTGGTGCCATGCTCTGAGGACTTCCCAGCCTCCAAAATCATGAGCCAAATAAACTTCAGTTATATATAATTTAGCCAGTCTGTCATATTCTCTTATAGCAACAGAAAACAGACTAAGACAGTTTTTTTCTTTCAGTATCTTGAATATATCATCCTTTCTTAGCCAGATTTCTCCTAAGCAATTTGCGATTGTCTCTTAGATACTCCCCTGTATGTAATGAGTAGCTTTTCTCTTGTTACTCTCAATATTTTCTCTTTATCTTTGACTTTTGATAATTTAATTATAACGTGTCTTGGTGTAGACCCTTTTGGGTTCGACCTATTTGGGAAATTTTTAGTGTCACAAATTTTGATGCCCACTTCTCTCTCAAAATTTGGGAGTTTCCATTTTTTCCTCTCCTCTCCTCTCCTCTCCTCTCCTCTCCTTTCCTTTGTGACAGGGTCTTGCCCTGTCACTCAGGCTGGAGTGCAGTGGCAAGATCCTGGCTCACTGCAGCCTCTACCTCCTGGGCTGAAGTGATCCTCCCACCTCAGCTTCCTGAGTAGCTAGGACTACAGGTGTGTGCCACCAACCTGCTTAAATTTTTATTTTTTGGAGAGATGTGGTCTCAATATTATTCTCAGACTGGTTTTGAACTCCTGGACACAAGTGATCCTCCAACCTTGGTCTCCCAAAGTGCTGGGATTATAGGTATGAGCCACTGGCCCTGGCTGTCATTATTTCTACAAATAAGCTTTTTATCTCTTTCTCACTCTCTTATGTTTCTGGAGAATATTTTTTTGTTTCACTTGATGGTGTCCCATAAGTGCCATATATCTCTTTTCACTCTGCATTCTGTTTTCTTTTTATCCCTTTGACTGGTTAATTTCAAATTGTCTTTGAGTCCACTAATTCTTCCTTTTGCTTGATTGAATCTGCTGTTGAAACTTTCCTAAACTTTTTTCAGTTTAGTTACTGTATTCTTTATCTGCAGGATTTTTAAAAAATGGTTTCTATTTCTTTGTGGAACTAATTTTGTGTATCGTTTTCTTAATTTTGTTTAGTTGTCTATCTGTATTTTCTTGTAGTTCATTGAACTTCTGAATTCTTTGTCAGTTTGTTTATAGATCTCCCATTTCTTTAGAGTCAGTCATTGGAGCTTTATTAGTTTCCTTTGTTGGTATAACATTTTCCTAATACCTCATAATCCTTGTATCTTGCATTTCTTTTTGTGCTTTTGAGGCAGCAGCCACCTCTTCTAGCCTTAACAGGTTCATATCAGTAGAGATAGACCTTCACCAGTCAGTCCAACCTTTGGTTCTAGATGGATTGGCTGTTAGTGTTCATGAATAAGTGTGGCTTGCTGCTCACACTCTCTAGTTGATGCGGCCACTACCCGTACTCTGAGGTGGAACTGCTGGCTGTGCTCCATGGTCGGGCTGGATCACTGGCTGGGTTCTATGATCAGGATGAGCTGTTGGCTGGGCTCTGCATTCAGGCGGGGCTACTGGCTGGGCTCCTTCATAGGGTGGGGATTTTGACTGGCTTTGTGGTCAAGTAGGACCACTGGCTGGACCCCACAATCACCTCTTGTCAGATGTTGTTGCAGCCTGTGCTCCTTGTGGTACTGTTGTTCAGGGTATATAATTGGGCAGGGCTTTAGGCTGGGCTCTGAAATTTTCCCTGGTTGGGTAGGGGCCCATGAAGTGCTCCCTGACTGGGTGTGATGCTGGCTGAATGCCATATTCAGATGGAGCCACTGACTAGGTTTTGTAATTGGTGGTGGTCTCAGGCTGTGCTTTGTAGTTGGGCAGGCCACAGGCTGGGCTCCGTGTTTGGGTAGGGACACAGGCTGAACTGTGTGTTTGTGCTGGGTCACTGGCTGGGAACTTGATCCAGGTAGGGCTACTCAGTTTGCTCCATGGTCAGTCAGGGTCACCATGAACTCCCAGATTGGCTGGGTTTGTAGCCTGTGTCCCACAGAGCCCACATGTGTAGCTCTGTGTGGTTGCAGGCAGAGCTTCAAGGCTGTGTTGGGTTCTTGATCAGGCTCCTTCATGAGGCAGGGTAACAGGTTATGCTCCACAGTTAGGCAGAGTCACCAGCTTTACTTTCTGCTTGAGTGGGGCCTGGGGCTGGGCTCTGAATTTGGAAAGGGTCACTGTTTGGACTTCCTGGTCAGGCCAGGCCAGAGGCTGTGCTCTGCAGTTAGGTGTGGTTGCTGGCTGGCCTCCCTATTTGGGCAAAGTCTTAGGCTTGGCCCTGAGGCTGGGCAGAGTTGTTGTGGAGGATCCTTGGTCAGTTGGGGCCAGAGGCTGTGCTCCACAGTTAGGCAGGGTTGCTGGCTGGCTTTCCTGTCTCACAAGGAACTTAGGTTGGGCTCTGAGGCTGACCTCCACAGGGAGGCTATACCACTGGTTAAGGATGCAAGCCAGACAGAAACTGCCTACCATACTTCCTGGCCAGACAAATTTGTTGGCTTGGGTCTGCAGGCAGGCAAGTTGCTGGCTGGTCTCTCTGATTGGGTGCCACTGCTAGTAGGAATGTAGTGTCACTGCCAAGATCCATGCAGTGATTGCTGAAGCCTTGACCACTTCTTTGCTTCTAGGTGACCGCAGGTGGTCTAGTCCTGCCGATGCCCTCAATGTTCTCTGTGACATGGGACAGAGCTGGACCTCCTAGGATGCGCTTTGGAACGCTGTTTGAAGCTGGATATCTACTTTGGCTCTCTTTTTCCCGTTGAAGAGCTCATTGGCCCAGGGGAACTCCATTCATGTTGCGGTGGCGCCTGGGGGAGGGGTGATGCTGCCAAAGTAAAACTCTTACTCTTACCCTTCTAATGAAGGGTGAAACACCGAGCTTGGTGTTTTCAGGATAAGGGGCAAGGTCAGTGAGTTGGAAGCTTAGACAACCAAGATAAAGGAGATAAAACATGATGCTTGGAAGATAAGTAGATGTCACATAACATAGCATCTAAGGACATGGTAAGAAGACAGCAATGACAAAACCTAATATTGTGTGCGCAGTAACCTTCTCTACTGAAAAGCCAATTAAGAATCCCTCAATATTCCACATGACTGTTATCTAGGACACTGACTCCATGGGTGCCTTGAGTAGAATCAAGGTTGAACTTCAGAAAGAACTGAAATAGAAATGAAATCTACCTTCAGTACTTCAAACCATTCATATATCCCTGGAAACTACATCATCAAGTCAGCCCTACCAATCCACCCACCAAGGACAGTAAATCCGTAACGGTCATGAAATCATGCAGAGTCTTCTCGCTTCATTCCACTTTATCTGTCTGCTCCCCAGCCCACCCTGATTGTGCTAATTGACACGTTCGGTGTGAATACCCAGCTTTGACAACAGGACCTCCTAAAGACTGTTCTCAATCATCTGGACCTGTCTGCTTCTAGCCCTTTTTTTTCTGAGAGACCCTAGTGCTAAAATTCTATAAGTTACCCCTTAACAGGACCAGTATAATTTAGTAAAATGCAGATGCCTTTAACAATATGGTACATATACTCTCACACCCGAACCACCATCATTGGGATCTCCTCTATCCTGTATGTCAGATAAAACATTCTGCTGCCCTACCACCCATTGGTGACTTACCTGTCAGGGTCCAAAGCCATTGCACCCCTCCCAGGTCTTGGGGAGAAGGGCACCCAGAGTAACCTGAAAAGCCATCACTTTCCCACTCTGACTCTTGTCCTCCTTCCTTAAATCCCCAGGAAACTGTTGGATCCAGAGCCATCATTTCTGAAGGAGTGCCGGAGGAGAGGGGACAACCTGTACGTGGTGACAGAGGCTGTTGAACTGATCAACAATACTGTGCTGTACGATAGCAGTAGTGTGAATATTTTAGGGAAAATTGCTCTTTGGATTACCTATGGCAAGGTATAAAGTTGTCCTGAAGTGGGATTGAAATTCAAAAAAATACAGCCAGTCCTGGCAGCCAAGCTTCATTTCCTAGGGGGCTCTGGACTCTATTTCCAGGGATTACAAGGGATGGAGTCATTATTTCCCCCTTCTTACATGTTGATGTATCCTGACTTCTGATCTGAGAGTATATTCTAATATCCTCCGTTACAGTGTTTTACTATACGGGGTCATACAGTATTGACAAAATCAGAAATATATTTAATTATTTAGTATTGTGTTTTGCTTTGGGTAAATGATAAATTCTGCAGAATTCAAATGAGTGGCCACTGTGTTATATACAGTCTAGTTTTATGGCTGGAAGAAATGAGGGACCACTAATACCAAACCCCGGTTGTTAAAGTACTTTAAACTCTAAGGTAACCTGATAAGAAATATTTCAAGGAGTGAGATCAGAGTATCTTCAAGCACATGTGACTGACATGAGTCATTCACAATAACCAAGTATAATATTTTTTAATATAAATAAATTCATTTATCAACTATTCAGATTAAGTATGGGTCAAGGGCTTATAAAGTTTATATGTGTTATAATGTGCTTTTACAATATGTCTGTGTAATTTGTCTTTACTTAAGAGCTTTAAAAACTAAAGAAGAAACCCGATATGTGTACTAAGTTTCCCAATGCCAATGAGTTACTGCTAAAAAGTGGACAAATGGTAACAGACCCTGGAAAGCAGGAATAGTGGACCCCCACCTGCAGCAGGGAAGAAAGTCTAGAAACAAGAACCCCCAAAAGGTTCAGGAATCGGAGGCACTAGCTACCTCTGAAGATAGGTGGGACTGCAAGTAAGAATATCGACTGGAAATCTTTTTAATTTTTTAAAAAATGTGTGTGGGAATATGGTAGATGTATACATTCATGGGGTACATGAGATATTTTGATACAGCCATACGATGTGTAATAATCACTTCAGAGAATTTTTATAAGGAACACTCAGAGCCCAAATCCCTTCCCACCTCTGCATAGCCAGGCACCTACCCTCACCCACTCTGGCAGAAGACCTTCTGGAAAACTTATTCCCTGTGGGTTCTAGATTTAGGAAGACTAGTTACAGTGAAGGGTGGGAGTGAGAAGCCATAATGGAAAAGGAAAATAAGTGCAAGTCCTCATTGAGAGTGGGGACATTGAGCCCCTTTCCCCATTCAGCTCCAGGCATCACATCTCTACCCTTTCTACCCCTACAACACACAGCCTAGGCGGGAGATTGAAGAATTATTTCCTAAGAAAATTAACCAGTACAAAAGAAATAACTAAAAAAACCCCAACCACTGGAGACCCCAAAGAGATAGTTTAATCCCTGCCTGGTTGCCCCAAAGTGAAACATCTACTCAACATGCCCTGCCTATGCACATTTAACAGCTTTCATGCTTCACTCGTTAACAAAACAGAAAAAAAAAATCACAGACACTTGAGGAAAGCCTAAAACCCAAAACAAAAACACTTTGAAGTTAGGAAATTAGAGGAAACAAAAACAACATAGGAAGGTAAGAAATACTTGATCCTCTTTAAGAGATAATATTTTATTTTCATGGAAGAATAATGCTTTGCAAAAAGGATATTTATAGCTCTTAGAAATTAAAAATAGAGTAGTAGAAATTTATTATTCTTTTTCTTAAATAGAAGGGTCAAAAAGCAAAATCGAAGAAATTTCCAGGAAAAAGTAAGCAAAAAGACAGGAGAATATTCATTAAAAAAATTTGGAGGCTAGGCACAGTGGCTCATGCCTGTAATCCTAGCACTTTGGGAGGCTCTTGCAGGTGGATTGCTTGAGCTCAGGAGTTCAACACCAGCCTGGGCAACATAGTGAGACCTTGTCTCTACAAAATATAAACAAAAAATTAGCCAGGTGCGGTGGTGCATACCTGTAGTTCCAGCTACTTGGGAGGCTGAGGTGGGAGAATTGCTTGAGCCTGGGAAGTTGTGGCTGTTGTGAGCCATGATTGTGCCACTGCATTCCAGCCTGGGTGACAGAATGAGACACTGTCTCAATTAAAACAACAAAACTTGAGGATCAGTCGAGGAGATTTAACTACTCCTGAATAATACGAGTTCCAGAAGGGGAGAACAAAGACATAATGCAATGTGGAAAATCTTTCAGGAGGAAATACAAGGAAGGTTCTGAGACCCAAAGAATGTGTTTCCAGAATGAAAGTGTCCACTGAAGGCATGGTTTCTTGAGTCAACATAGATCCACCCCATAAAACATAACTGTGAATTTTCAGAACACTTACCTCAAAAAGACAACCATAAATATTTCTAAAAGGGAAATAAAGTCATATTCCAGAGAATTCCAGCCAAGAATTCTATGGCCAGTCAAAATATCAATCAAGTGTGAGAGGTACAATAAAAATGTCTTTAGATGTACAAGGTCTCAAAAAAATGTGTCCCCCATCTCCTCTGGAGAGAATGAGTAAAGAGACAGACAAGGCAAAGGGACATCACATTAACTGATAAAGGAAAGATCGGGAGTGGGGAAAAGCAGTTTTCCCCAAGTATAAACAGTGAATATTAACTTGAACATGGGGATGTTAATATTTTAGGAAGATGGGAGAAGGGAAATAAGGAATGATGAAAGAGAAGGAAAACGAATTCAACATAATCAAAAAGAGAGAATAAATAGTTAAATCTGGAAAGAAATAAAAACATTGCAATATCAACATGAAATTGAAAAATGGGAAGATGAGCACAGGATGAAATAAGGAAGAAAGAGCAGTGATTGGAAATCAGAAGTCAGCAGTAGGGAGGATGAGAGCAGGGAATGCTGATGTTTTTCCTAATGAGCTTTCTAGAGCCATCTGACCTTTAAAATTACATACATTTAATACTGTATTGTCTGGTTTCTCTCCCCAGGGTCAAGGCCAAGGAGAGAGTCTCAGAGTGAAGAAGAAGGCGCTGACTCTTCAGAAAGGCATGGTGATGGCTTATAAGAGAAAGCAGCTGGTTATCAAGGAGAAAGGTGGGAGCAGCGGAGCTCAGCAAGGCAGATGGCAGTGGAGGGGGTGTCTGCTTCTCCTATGAGAGAAATGAGAGGAAAATAACCATAGTATGCAACCTTTGATGCTCTGCCTATCCAAGGAGAAGCATGCACATTTCTTACTGTCCAGGGCACACACCCATCTCACCACACAGAGGCACCTCCAAGCATGGCCTGGGTGAAATGCTGCTATTGACAGATACAGACAGTCTGGTACATGGAAAATAATCCAACTTGTTCATCTTGGAGTGTTGTTAGCTCTGGGCAAATTCCAACCCTAATCCTGACCATCCTTATTCATTTAAGTACCCTCAGCAACTCATCAGCCACAGAGGCTTACCCAAGGTTACCCATAACCCCACATTAAGGTCCTATGAGGTAACAACATCACAATCACAAACAAAACTGCAGACACGATGTCCTAAGAACATAAGTCAGAATTTTATCTACATCTTTCCCTCCTTCATCAGCCTCAAAATGCACAGTTCCTGACCACACACACTTTGGGTTTAGACTCCATGTGGGCAGAAGCATCTGTGTCAGTTGCATACCTAGGTGTGACAGTGAGTGCTGGGAACACAACTGGCTCTCAGAGTCCTTGTTTTCTCCCTTCCCAAATGCTGAGTCCCAGCTAGAGCTCATTTTAATACAGATCGAGTTCAGCTCCTCCTTCTCCCACACTCACTCTCACACTCTACTGCCTATAGTATCCTCACTGCAACATGGTCACGGGAGTGTCCTGATGTCAGTTACCTCCCATCAGTGGCCATAGACAGAATGAGGCTGAACTGTCTCCAGTCTTTCAGTTAGAGGACTCTGGCTTCTGGAAAGACTGACCATATCCAAAGCAGCTCTCTAATGAGGAGAAGGGGTGAGAATGGGATTCCCACTCTCAGGAGAGGTCAGAGAGTCCTGCTGAGGGCAACAGGAGATGGTGGCACTATCAAAGGTCATGGTGAATGATAAGATGATTTTAACATAGAAGGAAAAGAAAAGGAGCTCTAGTTTCAAAATATCATCATCATCAACAACAAACAGAAAATGATGTGGTCAGATAAAAGAAGACCCTACAGAACATGATGTGGTAGTATCCAGATAGAATCAGGTCAATATTCGTTGGTGACTGAAGCCAGGTGGATTCTTTGGAGAATAAACTACAGTGGTTGAAGTGTGAATGCAAAGAGGGGAAGTGAGGACCCAGTGTGTAGCTGATTCTTGAAGGAAGTTGGCTGTGAGGGGACAACAGGTGGGAGGAGGTGATAACTAAAGGAGGACACTTAGCTTTGGGAAGGGGGTTTATGAGATGGTGAAGACTTGAGCCCGTTGTCAAGCTAGGGGAAAGATCCTGATGAACTGGAGAGGGTGAAGATGAATTGGTGTCAGTTACATTGCTGGACATGTATCTCCACTCCTTGCATCAGCTAGGGAGAGAAGATCTCATCTCCATTTTACAGTGAGGCGTCTGACATAGAGGAGCGCCACTCTCCCCGCTAGTAGTCAGAACATGACTTGCAGTCACTGCTGTGAGGCTAGCTTTTCCTCTAACTTCATTCAGTTCACACTTTTCAACCCTTATACAACTTTTTGTCTTCTTCATAGGCTCTTTCCCCTGTTGAACACTTGCACTCTAGTGTTAGGTGAATTTCAGACCTCAGCATATTTCTCTACACAGAATGTGAAATCATCCAAGAAGATGCCAAATTGAGAGTGGTAAGTAAGGCAGATCAGTAAGAAAAGGGCAGCAAGAGGCAATTCTACCTAGTGAAGGTCAAAGGGAGCTGAGTTCCTTTACTCTATCAAGGTAATTTCCAAAAGTTGGATGGCAAAGTGATTACCTAAATTGCTTATTTAAATGCAGGTTCCAGGGCACCTTTCAAAGTGATTCAGAAGGCACAGAGTGAGGCCAGTGGTCAGATTTAACAGGCATCCCAGTGGTTTTGATATAAGGAGTTCCCTGGTCTAGGTTCAGGCTATGGGAAAGACTCAGGCAGGAATAACCTCAACTCTCCTAATGGAAGTTCTTCTTTTCCATTCAGCCATTCTCATCTCAGATGATGATGAACAGAGAACCTTTCAAGATGGTGAGTTCCAAAGCCTGGTCTTTTTATTTTTTTATTTTTATGAGTACATGGGAGGTATGTATATTTATAAGGTACATGAGATGTTTTG
This sequence comes from Homo sapiens, assembly GCF_000001405.40. Taxonomy (NCBI): domain Eukaryota; kingdom Metazoa; phylum Chordata; class Mammalia; order Primates; family Hominidae; genus Homo; species Homo sapiens. Next base: position 44,811 of record NW_019805494.1, on the reverse strand, counting down.
ATACAGGCATGCAATGTGTAATAATCACATAATGGAAAATGGAGTATTCATCTTCTCAAGCATTTATCCTTCATGTTCTAAGCAATCCAGTTATACTCTTTTAGTTTTTAAAAAATGTACAATTAAATTATTTTGACTGTAGTCACCCTGTTGTGCTATCAAATGCTAGGTATTATTCATTCTTTCTAGCTTTTTAAAATGTGCCCATTAACCATCCCTACCTCTCCTCCAGACCCCCCACCACCCTTCCCAGTCTCAGGTAGCATACTTATATCTGTATGTGTTCAACTGTTTTGATTTTTACATCCCACAAGTAAGTGAAAACATAAAATGTTTGTGTTTCTATTCCTGACTTATTTCACTTAACATAATGAACTCCAGTTTCATTAATGTTTTTGCAAATAATAGGATCTCATTCATTTTTTTAACGGGTGAATAGTATACCATTTTGTATATGTTTGATATTTTCTTTATACATTCATCTGTTGATGGACATTTAGTTTGCTTCCAAATCTTGACTATTGTGAACAGTGTTGCAATGTTTGTTCTTAAATCTCTCTTTGGTATACTGATTGCCTGCCTTTTGGTGTATATACCCAGCAGTGAGATTGCTGGATCATATGGTAACTCTAGTTTTTGTTTTTTGAGGAAGGTCCAAACTGTTCTCCAGAGTGATTGTACTAATTTACATTCCCATCAACGGCATATGAGAGTCTCCTTTTCTCTGCATCCTCCCCAGCATGTGTTATTGCCTGTCTTGGATATAAGCCATTTTAACAGGGGTGAGATAATATCTCATTGTAGTTTTGATTTGCATTTCTCAGAAGATCAGTGATGTTGAGCACATTTTCATATGTCTGTTTGCTATTCGTATGTCTTCTTTTGAGAAATGTCTACTCACATCTTTTGCCCATTTTCAATCAGATTATTAGATTTATTTCTATATAGTCATTTGAGCTTCTTAAATATTCTGGTTATTAATCCCTTCTCAGATGGGTAGTTTGCAAATATTTTCTCAGATTCTGTGGGTTGTGTCTTCACTTTGTTGATTGTTTCCTTTCCTGTGAAGAAGCTTTTTAACTTGATGCGATCCCATTTGTCTATTTTTGCTTTAGTTGCCAGTGCTTGTGGAGTATTTACTGAAGAAATCTTTGCCCAGACCATTGTCCTGAAGAGTTTTCTTAATGTTTTATTTTAGTAGTTTCATAGTTTGAGGCCTTAGATTTAAGTCTTTAAATGATTTTGATTTGATTTTTGTATATGGTAAGAGATAGGGGTCTAGTTTTATTCTCCTGGATACGGATATCCAGTTTTCCCAGCACCATTTATTGAAGAGACTGTCCTTTCTCCATTGTATGTGCTTGGCAACTTTGTCAAAGATGGTTCACTGTAGGTACATAGATTTGTTTCTAGGTTCTCTATTTTGTTCCTTTGGTTATGGGTCTGTTTTTATGGCAGTATCATGTTGTTTTGGTTACTATAGCTCTGCAGTTTAATTTGGAGTCAGGTAATGTGATTCTTCTGGTTTTGTTCTTTTTGCTGAGGATAGCTTTGGTTATTCTGGGTCTTTTGTGCTTCCATATGAATTTTAGAATTTTTTTTTCTTACTGTGAAGAATGTCATTGGTGTTTTGATAGGGATTGCATTGAATCTGTAGATTGCTTTGGGGAGTATAGACATTTTAACAATTTTAATTATTCCCATCCATGAACATGGAATATCTTTTCACTTTTTTGGTGTCTTCTTCAATTTCTTTCATCAATGTTTTATAGTTTTTATTGTAGAGAACTTTCACTTCTTTGGTTAAGTTAATTCCTAGATGTTTTATTTTATCCCTATTGTCAATGCGATTAATTTTTAAATTTCTATTTTAGAGTGTTCACTGTTGGCATATAGAAATGCCACTGATTTTTGTATGTTGAATTTATATTCCTCAACTTTACTGAATTTGTTTATCAGTTCTAATAGTTTTTTTAGTGGAGCCTATAGGTTTTTCCAAATATAAGATCATATCATCTGCGAAAAAGGATGATTTGACTTCTTCCTTTCCAATCTGGATGCCCTTTAGTTCTTTCTCTTGTCTGATTGCTCTAGCTAAGACTTCCAGCACTATGCTAAACAGCAATAATGAATGTGGACCTCTTTGTCATGTTCCAGATCTAAGATGAAAGGCTTTCAATTTTTCCCCACTCAGTATGAAACTAGCTGTGGCTCTGTCATATATGGCTTTTATCATGTTGAGGTATCTTTCTTCTATACCTGGTTTTTAAAGGGTTTTTATCATGAAGGAATATTTAACTTTATGAAATACCTTTTTAGCATCAATTGAAATGATCATACGGTTTTTGTCCTTCATTCTGTTGATATAATGTATCACATTGATTGATTTGTGTATGTTGAACTATCTTTGCATCCCTGGGATAAATCTTACTTGCTCATAATGAATTCTTTTCTTTTCTTTTTTTGAGACAGGGTTTTACTTTGTTGCTCAGGCTGTAGTGGTAGTGGCATGAACATGGCTCACTGCAACCTCTGCCTCACATACTCAAATGATCCTCCCACCTCAGCCCCCAAGTAGCTAGGACTACAGGCATGTGTCACCATGCCTGGCTAATTTTTGTATCTTTTTGTAGAGACATGGTCTCACCATGTTGCCCAGGCTGGTCTCAAACTCCTGAGCTCAAGTAATCTAGCCACCTTGGCCTCCCAAAGTGCTGGGATTGCAGGTGTGATCATGACACCTGGCTGTAAATGACCTTGTTAATGTTTCATTGAATTCGGTTTGCTAGTATTTTGTTGAAAATTTTTGCATCAATATTCATCAGAGATATTGCCTATAGGGTTTCTTTTTTCTTTTTTTTTGATGTATCTTAATTTAGTTTTGGTATCTGGGTAATACTGGCCTCATAGAATGAGTTTTGAAGTATTATCTCTTCTATTTTTTGGAGTAGTTTGAGTAGGACTAGTATTCATATTTTACTTTAAATATTTGGTAGAATTCAGCAGTGAATCCATCAGGTCCTGGGCTTTTCTTTACTGGGAGACTTTTTATTACAGCTTCTATCTCATTACTCATTACTGATCTGTTCAGGTTTTAAATTTCTTCATGGTTTAATCTTGGTAGGTTCTCTGGGTCTAGGAATGTATCATTTTTCTCTAGATTTTCCAATTTATTGGCATATGGTTGTTCATAGTAGCCACTAATGATCCTTTAAATTTCTGCTGTATCAGTTGTAATGTCTCCTTTTTCATCTCTGATTTTATTTGCGTCCTCTCCATTTTTTTTTTTATTGTTCTGGCTAAAGTTTTGTCAATTTTGTATATCTTTTCAAAAAGCCAACTTTTTGTTTCATTGATCTTTTGTATTGTTTTCTTCACTTTAATTTCATTTATTTCTACTCTGATCTTTATTATTTCTTTTTTTCTAATTGTGGGTTTGGTTTGATCTTGCTTTTCTAGTTCTTTAAGATGCATCATTAGGTAGTTTTTTATGAAGTTTTTCTTCTTTTTTGATGTAGGCACTTATAGCTATAAATATGCCTCTTTGTACTGCTTTGCTTTGTCCCACAGCTTTTGGTATGTTGTGTTTCCATTCTCATTTGTTTCAAGAAATGTTTCAATTTCCTTATTAATGTTTTCCTTGACCCACTGGTCATTCAGGAGCATATTGTTTAATTTCCATGTATTTGTATGGTTTCCAAAATTCCTCTTATTGTTGATTTCTAGTTTTATTCCATTGTGGTCAGAGAAGATGGCTGATATTATTTCAATATTTTGGAATGTTTTAATGCTTGTTTTATAACCTAACATATGATGTATCATTGAGAATGATCCATGTGCTGAGGAGAAAAAAATGTGTATTCTGCAGCCTTTAGATGAAATGTTCTCTAAGTATCTATTAGCTCTATTTGCTCTATAGTGCAGAATAAGTCTCAGGCTTCTTTCTTGAGTTTCTTTCTGTGAGATCTGTTCAGTGCTGAAAGTAGGGTGTTGAGGTCTCCACCTATTACTGTCTCTTTAGCTCTAATAATCTCTCTTTAGCTCTCTCTCTCTTTAGCTCTAATAATATCTCTCTCTTTAGCTCTAATAATATTTGCTTTATATATCTGGGTACTGCAGTGTTGAGTGCATATATATTTACCATCATTATATCATGTTGTTAGATCGACCCCCTTATCTTTATATAATGACCTTTTTTTTGTCTCTCCTTACAGTTTTTGTCTTGAAATCTATTTTGTCTGATGTAAGTATAGCTATTTCTGCTTTTTTTTTTGGTTTCCATTAGCATGGAATATCTTTTTCCATCCCTTTATTTTCAGTCTATGTGTATCTTTATAGATGAAGTGTGTTTCTTGTAGGTAACAGATCATGGAATCTTGTTTTTTTTTTTAATCCTTTCAGCCACTCTTCATCTTTTGATTGATGAGTTTAGCCCATTTACAATTAATGTTATTGTTGATAAATAGGGATTTAATCCTGCCATTTTGTTATTGTTTTCTGGCCTTCTTTTCTTCCTTTTTGCCTTCCTTTTAGTGAAGGTGATTTTCTCTGATGGTGTTTTTTTTTTTGCTTTTTGTTTTCTGTGTCCATTGTAAGTCTTTTGATTTGAGGTTACTGTAAGACTTGCAAATACTGTCTCATAACCCATTATTTTAAACTGATGAGAACTTAACATTGATTGCATAAACAAATGAACTAATAGGCAAAAAGAAACCTAATAAAGTAAAAACTCTACACTTTACCTTCCCGCTTTCTAACTTCTTGTTGTTTGTCTTTATGTCTTATTGTACTATGTCTTGAAAAGTTGTAGTTATTTTTGATTGATTCATCATTTAGTCTTTCTGCTTAAGAATAGTTTACATGCCATAATTATAGTGTTATAATGTTTATGTTTTTCCATGTGCTTCCTATTAGCAGTGAGTTTTGTATCTTTAGATGATTTCTTCTTGCTCATTAATGTCCTTTTCTTTCAGACTGAAGAACTCCCTTTAACATTTCTTATAAGACAGGTCTGGTGTTGATGAAATTACTCAGCTTTTGTTTGTCTGGAGATGTCTTTATTTCTCCTTCATCCTTGGAGGATATTTTTGCCAGTTATACTCTTCTAGGATAAAAGGTTTTTTTTTCTTCAGCAATTTAAATATGTCATGCCATTCTCTCCTGGCCTGTAAGGTTTCCAGTGAAAAGTCTGCTGCCAGACATATTGCAACTCCATTGTATGCTATTTGTTTCTTTTTCCTTGCTGCTTTAAGATCCTTTCTTTATCCTTGATCTTTGAGAGTTTGATTATGAGACACCTTGAGGTAGTCTGCTTTGGGTTAAATCTGCGTGGTGTTCTATAACTTACTTGTACTTGAATGTTGGTATCTTTCTATAGGTTTGGGAAATTCTTTAATATTATTCCTTTGGATAAACTTTCTTACCCTATCTCTTTCTCTGTGTCCTCTTTAAGGTCAACTTTTAGATTTGTCTTTCTGAGGCTATTTTCTAGATCATATGTGTGTGCTTCATTGTTTTTTATTCTTTTTTCTTTTGGTTCCTCTGACGGTATATTTTCAAATAGGCTGTCTTCAAGCTCACTAATACTTCCTTATGCTTGATTGAGTCTATTATTAAGTGACTCTCAGGCATTCTTCAGTATGTCAACTGCATTTTTCAACTCCAGAATTTTGGCTTAATTCTTTTTAATTATTTCAATTTCTTTTTTAAATGTGCCTGATAGAATTCTGAATTTCTTCTCAAGTTATCTTGAATTCCTTTGAGTTTCTTCAAAATACTATTCTGAATTCTTCATCTGAAAGATCACATGTCTCTTTTTCTTCCAGGATTTGTCCCTGGTGCCTTGTTTCGTTCATTGGTGAGGTCATGTTTTCCTGGATGATCCTGATTCTTGTAGATGTTTTTTGGTATGTAGGCATTGATGAATTAGGTATTTATTTTAGTCTTCTCAGGCTTGTTTGTGCCTGTCCTTGAGAAGGCTTTCCAGGTATTCAAAGGGACTTGGTTTTCCTGTTTGATATCTCTGTGGTTGTTGCAGACTCATAGAGGTTCTGCTTTGGTGGTCTTGCATAAGATCCAGAAAAATTACCTGGATTTCCAGGCAGAGACTCTTGTTTTTTCCCCTTACTTTCTCCCAAACAAATGAGGTCTCTCTCTCTCTGTACTGAGCCACCTGAAATTGGGAGTGTGGTGATGCAAGCACCCCTGTGGCCACCACCACTGGCTCTGCACTGGGTTAGACCTGAAGCCAGCACAGCACTGGGTCTCACCCAAGGCCTGCTGTAACCACTACTTGGCTACTACCTGTGTTCACTGAAGGCCCTAGGGCTCTACAATCAGCAGGTGACAAAGCCAGTGAGATTTTTTCACTTCCCGTCAGAGCAGTGAGTTTTCCCAGGCCTTGGGTGGGTACAGAGATGCTGTTTGGGAGCTAGGGATTGAAGTAAAATATCTTATAAATTTACCTTATGTTCTGCTCTACTGCTGCTAAGCTGTCACTCAAATCACAAGACAAAGTTTTCCCCACTCTTCCCTCCCCTTTTCACAGGTAGAGGAGCTCTCTCTGTGGCCACCATTACCACCGGCCCATGAGGGGTTCTGCCAGGCCACTGCATATGTTTGCTGACAGCCCAAGGGCTCATGAGTCAGCTTGTGGTAAATGGTGTCTGGCCTGGGTCTCACCCTTTAGGGAAGTGGGCTCTTCTGTGGCCCAGGGCAGGTCCAGAAATGCTGTTGAAGACCCTAGGCCTGGTCTTGAGGGCCCCAAGAGCCTGCTTGGTGCACTACACCACTGTGGCTGAACTGGTACCTAAGATGCAAGGCAAAGCCTCCTCTTTACTTTTCCCTCTGCTTTTCTCAAACAGAAGGAGTCTTTCACCATAGCCACCGCAGCTGGGAATATGCTGAGTCACACCTTTAGTTAGCACATCTCAGAGCCCAAGGCCCACTACATACCACCTGGGTACTGCTGCTGGTTATTTAGGGCCCAATGGTTCTGTATTCAGCAGATGATGAATTCTGCCAGGACTGTGTTCTTCCCTTCAAGGCAGTAGGTTCCCTTTTCACCCAGGGGTGTCTAGAGATGTTGTCCAGGAGCTAGGGCTTGGAATGGGGGCCTCACAACTCTACCCAGTCTCCTGTCCTACTGTGGCTGAGGTGATATCCACGATGCGGGACAGAATCCTCTGTACTCTTCACTCTCTTCACTTAAACAAAGGGAATGAGACACTTTCATTTCTGTGAGCTGCACTGCCTGAGATTGGGGGTGGGGTAGCGCAAGCACCTTTTTTTAGTCACCCCAGCTGGTGTCTCTTTAGGTCACATGTCACTCTAGTCCTCTGGCTCTGAGCCTAGCTCAGCATTAGAAATTGCCTAAACATTGCAGTCCTTCTGTCCTAGACTGACCTTTAAGTTTACCTAGGACTCCAGAGCTCTTTGGCTGGCATTTGCAAGGCTTGCCAAGAAACTTGAGTTCTGAAAGAAGGAATGGGCAATTCCTCTTTGAGTGGGTCTTGTTCAAATGCTCCCTTCGTGCACTGGCACTGATTGAGCCCAGCCTGGCTCTGCTCTCTGCTATGACAAGGCAGTACTGAGTTCAATGTAAAGTTACCCAGTCATTCTGCTCTCCCTCTCTCCCAAGAGTACGAAATTTCCGAAATGGTAGGCTACTGTGCTGCGAGGAGTGAGGGGTTGCTACCATCATTTCATACCATCTCTCCAACCCTCTTCAATGCCTCATCCAATGATATGAAGTTAAAACCAGGTACTGTGATTGCTCACTTTATTTTTACTTCTATGTTGATGCTTTTCTTTGTGCAGATAGTTGTTAAAATTTGGTGTTTATGTGGGGTGTATGAACCATGTAGGCTTCTATTGCACCATCTTGCTCATCCTCCTCTGGCAGTGTTTTTTTGCTTAGAACTTAGGCACTGCTGATCCCTGACCCCCTTTGGATTCCCACAAGAGCCCTGCTTGGGCTCAGCCCACACAAACCCACAGAGAACATTCCCCCAGTCATGCTCCTCCATTTCCTGCAACTGTCCCCTTCCTCTGACCCAGCCACTGTCCCCTGGGGCCACAGGGAAACCAGGCTTTCTCCTTTGAACATTGGGATAGGTGTGAGTCTGTTGGGGAAAGAGGCTGCCTGGGGATCCATCTCTCTGGGGAAGTTTTTTAACTGAACTGATGGAACATGTGAGAAATAAGGGGAGGATAGAGGAGTTAGAGGTGAGACCAAGAGGGAAAGAAGTAGAGGAGGAAAAGTAGGGGTAGACTAATGTTTGGTGAGTAAACACTTTTCTTTCTCTTTCCAGAGCTATTTCTGACACAGCAATTTTTGAGCGGGCATTTGCCAAGTGAGTGGAATCTGGCCCTCCCCTTCCAGGACAATCTGCACAACAAAAAACCACCTGATTGCCTTTGGTGCTATTACCCAAAGTCTTGGGGTCTGGCCTCTGGGGAAAAGGGCAGGAACAGATAGAGAAGAGTGGTTCAGGGAAAGAAGGGCAGAAGGTTGGAGAAATCTAGTCTTTGAGCCTCTTTGGTGAGGAATTTCATTTCTTTTTTTAGAATACGAACAAGTTCACATCCTCCCAGTAGGTGAGTGTGAGTTTGCTGGAGGTGGGGGTGGGGATCCCATCCTGCACACATGGGGTAAGTAGGGCAGATTGCCCCTGCCTCGCCTTTGCCACCACCGCCCTAGGGCCTGGCGTTTGGTCATGTGGAATGGGAAGGGTCCAGAAAGCTGAGAACATGGAGGATGAATGGGAATGGGGGCAGGAAGAAGTTGAGTAAGAGGGAGGAGGTGGTAGGAGAGCAGAACCCTCCAAAACATCTGAAAAGCAAATTTGGGGGGATGAGGAAGTGAGATGATGACTTGATTCTCCTTCTAGGAAGAATAGAGGAACCCTTCTGGCAAAGTAAGTATTTATTAAGGGGGAACCTGGGGCTTCTGGGTGGGAGCTGCAAGTCTGAGCACCCAAGTTGGTGGTTTCTATGCAAGTCAGAAACTGAGGTCCACTTCCAAATTTGCACTTTGCTCATGAAACAAACAAACATTTATTGAGGACTTATTGGACAACAAGAATTATTTTGAACCTGAAAGTTATGGCTGTGAACCAAGCAGACAAATTCTTGCCTCTTTGGAGCTTCCAATCCAGTGATCTCTCATCCCAAGCAGTTCACCCTGAGGGAGCCAGATGTCTCCTGGGAGAGACAGAGGGCCCCCAGCATCCACCCCTTGGTTAATTCTTCATAAACATTGAGGATACTGGCAAAATTGCATGATAATAAGGGTAGCTTATATGTGCCAAGTGCCTTACATACATAAACTCTCTCTCTCTCTCTTGTTTTTTTGAGATGGGGTCTCACTATGTTGACCAGGCTGGTCTTAAATTCCTGGCCTCAAGCAATCCCCCCATGTCAGCCTCCCGAAGTGCTGGGATTACAGGTGTGAGCAATCATGCTTGGCCTACATAAACTCTTTTAATCCTCATAACATCCCATTTAACCAATATGGAAACTGATTCCAGAGCATCTAAGTTTTTTGCCTCTAAGGCCCAATGCTAGATTTTACAGTATTCCTGACATGTCCCAGAAATGACCACTTTGCCATTCTCTTCCATTTGTGATGATGTCTTTTCAGAATCTCAATCTCTGCTCCCAGTACCCTATTTCCCCTTTTCAGAACACTGGATTGTCCATCTTTTTCCTTCTTATGCCAGCTCTATCCACAAAGCTCAAGCATGCCATTAGCAGAGACAATTTTGGTTAGCAGCTGAAAGGGATAGAGGAGTTTGGTTCATATTCGTGCAAACAGGCTGTCATTCCAAGGATGTTCTAATCAAAGACTTGTCCCCACTTTCTGGTCGGCGTTGATGCCTGAGAGCAGATTTCAAGCATCTACAAGAGGAGGTTTTCCAGAAAATAAAGACACTGGCTCAGCTCTCAAAGGATGTTCAGGATGTCATGTTCTACAGTATCCTGGCCATGCTCAGAGACAGAGGGGCTCTACAGGACCTGATGAACATGGTGAGGGGCTCCACAGTTGCATAGGTCTGGTAAAAGCTGTAAATGGGATTGGTTAGGAGATATGACTCCCAAGTTACATGGAGGAGGAAGAATAAGCAAGATGCCAGGGGAATGAGAAAGACTGGGGACTCTGGTGCCGGGCACAATGGGCCAGGGAAGTGTCGCCCCCACTACTGAGGCTGCTTGGAATCCCCTGGGGGAGGTAGAGAACCCTCATGCCTACCCCTTGGTTATCACCAGTAGACACAGGCAAATTATATAACATTACTGTTATTAGTATTATTATTAACAATAATACCTGTCTTCTATAGCTGGAATTGGACAGCTCAGGTCATTTGGATGGCCCTGGTGGTGCCATCCTAAAGAAACTTCAACAGGATTCAAACCATGCATGGTTTAACCCAAAGGACCCCATTCTTTATCTCCTTGAAGCCATAATGGGTAAGAGTAATTAAAGGGAAGAATGGGAGAATCACAAGATTGGTCCCCAGGACCCGCAAAAAGCTGTGTTAGATGCTGTGTCTCCAAAGCCCTTTGAATGCCATGATCTTTCGTCCTTACATCACAGCTCTCTCTAAGGTCAGAGGGCTCACTGTGATAACTTGCCGTATGACACAGAATTGAGTTTAAGGCCTAGGGAGTTACCAGTTTATGTTCATCCACAAATCATTGGAGGTGGGTGATTCCAGCTTTCAGCCCCTGAATCCCGTCCTCTGGTCCCTCTTATTTAGCATCCTGGAGACCATTCTGAAGGGCTTCCCAGGGCAGGGAGCTTGACCTTCAAGTCTAATGGGTTTTATTCCTCTGCCTTGGAGTTATTCTCTCAGGGGGTCTCCTGCTTTATGGTGGGAGGAAAAATCTGGATTCTTCACTACTGTCTTTCCCCACATGTCCCCCACCCTCAGTGCTGAGTGACTTCCAACACGATTTGCTGGCCTGTTCCATGGAGAAGAGGATCCTGCTTCAGCAACAGGAGCTGGTGAGAACTTCCCAGGGGCCAGAAGTTCAGGGAAGAGGGTGAGGGAACCAGAGATAAGAAGAATGATTCTGAGGAAAGAGAGATGATACAGGTTTTTGCTGGGAGGGGAGTCCAGATCACAGGGTGGCCACTGGGGAATCCTTGGCTGCAGTGTCCTTCTGGAGACCTGGTCCAGTGGGTATAAGCCTCCCTCAGGAGGGTCTTAGTTTCCATGGCAATCCCTGCAGCATTCCCCAACAGGCCTAAAATAGCCATATAGGAGCACAGGACTTTGAGGTCTAAGGGGATATAATATTCCTGCTCTAGTCACACTGTTACCATTTGCTAATTACTTCTGCTCTAGTTACACTGTTATGATTTGCTAATTTCTCTGTTTTTCTCTCTCCAAGTATATGTGTATATAAATACATACCTTTATATGCATATACTATATACATACATATATGCATATACATTTAGAAATAAAAACACCACTATTCTACAAGGGGAGTTTTATTTTCACCATTTCATAGATGCGGAACCAATGCTCCCTGATTTCCAATAACTTGATCTTTGGATCGTAGGGTATGACCAGCATGTTACTCCTGGTCCGCTGGATCCCAAAGCTCTTGCTCCTTTTATTATCCTGCATGGCCCCTGGATACTGGGGCAGAAGCCTTCTCTTCCTGATCTTAAAGGCTGGTCTGTAGAACCTGATCATCTTTCTTCTAGGTAAGGAGCATCCTGGAGCCAAACTTCAGATACCCCTGGAGCATTCCCTTCACCCTCAAACCTGAGCTCCTCGCCCCACTCCAGAGTGAGGGTTTGGCCATCACCTATGGCCTGCTGGAGGAGTGTGGCCTTAGGACGGAGCTGGATAACCCCAGGTCAACCTGGGATGTAGAAGCAAAGATGCCCCTGTCTGCCCTCTATGGGACTCTCTCGTTGCTGCAGCAGCTGGCTGAGGCCTAAGCCCTCCCTGATGGGCAGTCAGTCCAGAGATGCTGGCCCTCGCCCAGTCTATGCTGTGAGTGTCCTTATGGGTGCAAGAGATAGGGCTGTGCCTCTCTGCGTTTCCAGGTGGAGTAGAGACAGTAATGGGTAGAGACTTTAGGAAATGTTTTGGGGTGGTGGAATACTCTATATATTGACAAGAGTTTATATATTGACAAGAGTTTATATATTTGTCAAAACTCCTCAAATAGTATGTTAAAGACGTAAGCGTTTCACTATGTATAAATTTTACTTCAAAATAATAAAAACAAATACTGACTCTAGTTAATGGTGTGCATTTTGAATTGTTTTGGGTGAAGTGTACCGATAACGGTAACTTACATTGAAATGCAACAAAAAGTAAGTTGACTTGATGATAGACAGATAAGTGACCAAGTAAATGTGATAAAGTATTAGTAATTGGGGAATATGGGTGAAGGATATAGAAGAGATTTTTTTTTTCCTGGAAACATTTTGTGAGTCCGAAATTGTTTCACATTAAATGTTAGCCCCCACGTGTGTGTGTGTGTGTATGTGCATATTCCTCAATTATTAATATTTTGTCACATTTTCTTGGTCATGTATCTGTCTCATTCTGTGCTCTCTGTGTCATTTGCTAATGCCACCTCGCCTCCTAAGCTGAAACCTGGGAGTCCACCTTGACTCCTCTCCTTAATCCCCAATCAACACAGTCCAGCCGACTCACCATAGCCCTCCTCTTCTCACTTGGACAGCTGGTCTCGTGCTCCCAGCTGGTTGTCCTGCCACCATCTTGTTCTCTTCAAATTTTCCTTGAATCCTGGAGGCTCATATCACAGCAGGCATGGGGAATAATTTAAAAATGCAACCTTTGTATGTCACTCCTCTGCCTAAAATCCTTTAGATGCTCCCTGTCATCTAGAATTATCAACCAAGATTTTAAATATGACGTCTCATCAGAATCACCTTGGCCGACATTTCCACATGACAATAATGAAGTGACTAATCACCACTTCACTCTAGTGTATTCCAGTAATCCCTATTGCTCACATCATGTCTTCACTTTTAAACAGTGTTTACTTTTTTTCTGCTAAAAAAGGCAAGAAAATGAGTTCTTCTCCCATCTTGCTCTTCTATCATCTCCTATCTCCAATTATTTTATTATTTATAAATTGCCAAGGAGTGTAACCGTATCCCTCATGGCTGTTTAGTGTTAATTCTTTATCAAATTTTTTTTTTTTTTGAGACAGAGTCTTGCTCTGTCACTCAGGCTGGAATGCAGTGGCACGATCTCGGCTCACTGCAACCTCCACCTCCCAGGTTCAAGTGATTCTTGTGCCTCATCTTCCTGAATAGCTGGGATTGCAGGCATGTACCACCACACTCGGCTAATTTTTGTATTTTTTTTTTTTTGTACAGACAGGGTTTCACCATGTTGGCCGGGATGGTCTTGAACTCCTGGCCTCAAGTGATCTGCCTGCTTCGGCCTCCCAAAGTGCTGGGATTACAGGTGTGAGCCACCGTTCCCAGTCTGTTTAAATTTATTCATTGGTAAGTATCAGTCATTTTGTTTTATTCCTTGAATGGCTGTGATCAAATAATTTTTTCAGTAGTGCTTCACTCCCCAAGTCCCTTCATATTTGAGAAACTTTGCCTCTTGCCTTTGTTCTTGAAGAATTCCTTGGAGAGAGATTATATTTTTAGGTAACAGGTAACACCTTCTTGCCCTCAGTCTTTTGTAGCCATGCAAAGGTCTCCCGTTGACTTATTGATGCTTTGAAGAAGAACAAGGCTAGTCAAATTTTCCCAAACTCTTTGCATATACATCTAAATGTATGCCTGAAGAATTCTTTCTTCATCCTTGAAGTTAAGCACTTTAACCAGGCAATACCTGTGTCTCAGTCACTCTATGTCACTTTTCCTGGGAGCTACAGATTCATTTTTTCCTTTCAGGAAAATTTCCTCTTATAATAATTAAATATCTTTTATATTCTATTTGTTAGGTTCCCTACCTCACAGATACCAATTGTCCTTTAGGATTCTCCATACATTATCTTGTCTAATTCTTGCATCTTTGATTTTTTTTCGTCTGCATTCTCTGAGATCACGGCAGCTCTTTCCTCTATGTCTATAACTCAACTCTCAACTATAATTACTTTCCAATTCATCAGTTCAGATATTGTGTTGTGACCTTCAGTTCTTTTCCTTAGCTTTACAGTCTCTCTTTTCACATATTTCTGTTGTTGTATCTTTGCAGCTTTGAGGTTTTTACCTTATTAAAGTATTTCTCTTAGATTCTTCCATGGCATAAAACTGTTCTTTTTCTTGAGCTATGTTTTCTACCTGAATTGATTCCTCCACTCTCTTCTTTTCCTGTAGTGTGCTTGTATGGAATCTCTGTCACTTCCCACCTTCTCCCCTACCCCGCACCATGCTCATCCTCAGCATGGGCAGCTCTGTCCAAATTATATTTGCACAAAGACAATAGGGTAAATGAGTTTTTCTCAACTCTTTTATCAATTAAATGAGATGGTTTCTGTTCCTCTGCAAACTATGGATTGAAACCTGTGTTTTCCAGTGCTTAAGGTCATGGCATGTAGAACGGCAGGAGGGCTCACCTGGGGGTCTGGGCAGTCTTGGATGATTGCCCCGGCCTCTCTTTCACCTTCTACGATTTTAAACATTCTCTGTACCTGAGTTCCCTCACCTCATCAAGGGATTTTGCCCTTTTGGAAATGATTTCTGACACCAACTACTTGAATTCATTCAAGGAACTCAGGTCCTTTTGTCAATCCTTGTACTGATTAGATTGTGGGATCATCATGGCAGGTGATCTGAGGTAATATTTCTTAATTCCATCAAACTGGGGTGAATGAAGCAGACCCTTCAATATTAGAGGAACAGCAGGGGCTCCCGTCCCAAATCCTAAGAGTGCTGCATTAAGAGCTTTTTTTGGCCCATGAACATCTGCTTTATTCACTCCATTTCTTTATAGGCATTTAAAGATTTCCACCCTGCTGGGATGAGATCCCTGACATCCTTTCTCTTTCTCTTTTATTTCACCCTCTTCATTTTTCCCCATTCTCTTAGGAACTACACCAGTCTTCACTGTCCAAGTTTCAGCATAACCTTTCCTTTTGGAAATGGCTTTGAGGCTAGTGGCTATATCTCTGGTGGGCCAGCATCTGAACTTGATCCAGCATCAGGATCTATCCCAACACATCCTTTCCATGATGATCCCAAGTCCTCAGGCTGTAGTCAGGCCAGCCAGAATCTAAGCTTGGCTTGTCTATTTCTTTGATTTTAGCTACCATGGATCACAATAAGCAAAGAATTGCATGTTTTGCTCTTTCTTGTTACTTTGCATTTTCTGATGCATTACAATGAGCCAGCTCCCTTAGGAGCTGGGTCTCTCTTTTCTAAATTCCACTGCTGGCCCAGCTCAGTGGCTCATGTCTGTAATCCCTATGCTTTGGGAGGCCAAGGTGGGTGAATCACTTGAGGTCAGGAGTTTGAGACCAGCCTGGCCAACATGGTGAAACTGTCTCTACTAAAACTACAAAAATTAGCCGGAAGTGGTGGCATGCGCCTGTAGTCCCAGCTACTCTGGAGGCTGAGGCAGGAGAATTACTTGAACCCGGGACGTGGAGGCTGTAGTGAGTCAAGATCGTGCCACTGCACTCCAGCCTGGGTGACAGAGCAAGACTCTGTCTCAAAAAAAAGACAAATTCCATCGCTTAACTCTTATCAGTTAAGATAAGAGTTAGCAATCAGAAAACAGAGATCCTCAACTTATATCATAACTGATCACTGCACAGCTGCAATTTTATATCACAGGTCACTAGGGACCAGGTAGCCATTCAGGAATCAATGAGTATTTGTGTCTCACCCTTTCATTCTTTCTCTTCCCAAAACACATGTTTCAGTCAGTCCAGGTCAGTAGCCAATACCACTTTTGTGAGATCAGAAAAATGACTTCTGACACTAACTACCTGGAGTCAGGCTGAATTTCACAGATGCAGGGCACTGCCCTCACCTCAGACACCAGCTGCAAATTTGGGGGTTCCCAGGACATCTTCACTTTTGACCAGCTGGCTACAAACTTGGGGTTTCTCACTACACCTTCAGGTGCAATAATTCACTGACGCAACTCACAGAACTCATCGAAAGTGTCATACATGCATTTACATTTTATTATAGCAAAAGGATACAAATCAGAATCAGCAAAAGGTAGAGTTGCATAGGGTGAGGTCTAGGAGGTTCTGATATGTGAAATTTGTTTTTTAAAAAATATCTTTTGTTGTGTATATTTAAGGTATATGACATGATATTATGGCACACATATAAATAGTAAAATGGTTACTATATTAGTCCGGTTTCATGCTGCTGATAAAGACATACCCGAGACTGGGTAATTTATAAAGAAAAAAGAGGCAGGCAAAGAGGGGATGAGAACCAAATGAAAAGGGAAACCCCTTATAAAACCATCAGATCTCATGAGACTTATTCACTACCACGAGAGCAGTGTGGGAGAAACTGCCCCCGTGATTCAATTATCTCCCACCCAGTACCTCCCATAAGCCTTGGGAATTATAGGAGCTACAATTCAAGATGAGATTTGGTTGGGGACACAGCCAAACCATATCAGTTACTATGGTGAAGCAAATGAAAATAAATGTGAAACTCTTATGTCCTCAGGGACAGCTCACCCTCTTGGCACATCGAGGTATACAGAATATCGTCAATCAAGGAACCTCACCTGAAGCAGGACCCTCAGCATGTTGGTGTATGGAGGAGTGGCATATGTAATTAAGATTTTATATTTCAATTCTGTAGTTTTTACAGTGTAAACGATAGAAAGTAAAACTCCATTTTGGTAAATCTTGTCTGGTGGTAATATGCAGAAAGTACAGCTCTAAGCTATGTTCTCAATGGGCTGCATATCAGATTCCTAAGATTGAGAAGGAAGGGCATGGGATTTTTATGAATATTAGAGAAGGCAAAAGTAAAATAAATGCATTGTGAATACTGTCAATGGAAAGGAGTGTGACTATTTTGTGTGTCAGTTCTGGGATGCTACTCAGAAGTTACAGGTGTGGCAATCCTGTTAACACAGTTTCTCCTCCTTCAGGCACTTCACTTATTCCTGTAAGCCCACAGGGAGTAAATGGAAAGGGAATGGGTTTGGGGCAAGATTTTTTTTGTCCTTTTGCTTTATCTTCAGAATATTGTTGTAAGATTGGATTATATAATATATGCAAGGTGCTTGACAGAAAGGAGGTGTTAAAAACATTAATTCTGCTTGTACAGATGTCCAGACTCCCACAGCCAGGCAGTTCAGAGATGCTTCCCAGGGTCCTGGCCCTTGGATTTGTCCCTCCTCCTGAAGCTGACGTCTGCCTTCCTTGCTGTCCCATGCTAACATACGGTGATTGAGCCCATTGCTCTCCAGAGAATGGGAAAAAAAGTGAGAATAATAGAAATATCAAGTTAGGGTTCTCCAGAAAGACAGAACCCTGTATACATGAGGAGAGTTATTAGAGGAATTGGCTCACATCACACAAGTGTTTCCAAAAGACAAAAATAAACATTGGCTTTGTTGAGCCTGTACTATACGAAGGGGTGTCCTTTGGAGGAAGCTTTGCAGTTCAGGTTTCTTGTTGTCTAACTACGTGACTGACTTACAGGCATGTTGTTCAGGTGTGGAGAAACTTTCCCAAGGTGAATGGACACAGAAAGGGGAGCACGCATCACCTGGGAGGGGAAGATGATCTGCTGATTTTCTACTGAATGGAAAAGGACGAGGAAAAGTTAGACATCTATATTGAGTCTAGTTCAGCATAGAACTTACGGTGGGAATACCAAAGGATGGATTTGAAAAGAATATAGCCAAACTATTTCTTTTTCTAACTGGTGAGGGTTAAAGGTCTAAGGGTTTCTTCTCCTACCAATTTAGGCAGGTGCTACGGCAAAGCTGTCCAACGGAAATATAGTGCAGCCACATATGTAATCTTAACTTTCCCAGCAGCTGCATTAAAAAAGTAAACATGAAACCAGTAAAATTAATGCTCATAATGGCATTATTGTATTACATCTAAAATATTGTTATTTCAACACGAGGGACAAATGGCATAATAGTGTGACAGCACACAAATAGGGGGGCCCCCCTGGTATGGGGGGGTCAGAGAAGGTTTCCTTTTTCATAGACCATAATTGGCATAATATAAAATTCACCCTTAAAAATTCTAGTAGTTTTAACAAATGCATGCAAGTATGTAACCAACATAAGAATCAAAATACAGAATATTGTCACCCTCCCAAAGTTCCCTTGTGGGTTTTTGTAGTTAGCCACTCTTCCAACCTTCAGCCCATTATAAGCATTGATGGGCTTTGTGTCCCAGCACAGAAATGGAATCATACTCTAGGTAGTCTTTTGAGTTTGGCTTCTTAGCCTAAAGTACTTTAGATTCATCCATGTTGTTGCATGTATCACTTGTTCATTTTCCTTTCTGAGTTTGTTTTTATTCCATTTTATACAGTCTCTTGATTCACTCATCAGTGAAGAATATTTGGATTGTTTCCAGTTTTCAGCAATTTTGAATGAAGACCCTAAAAACATTTGTGAGCATGTTTTTCTGTGAACATAAGTTTTCATTTCACTTTAAACACTTAATCGTTGCATTGCTGGGTTGTATGGTATGTGCTCTTTAATTTTATGGAAAATTGCCAACTCTTTTGGCTGTATTATTTTGCATTCCCAGTAGAGTTCCAGTTTATCTGTACTCTCGAGAGCAGTCTCAATAGCATTGTCATGTGTTTTGATTGCAGCCATTCTGATAATTGTATAGTGGTGTCTCATTGTGGCTTTGATTTTCATTTCCCTAATGACTAATGATGTCATTTAATTTTTTAGTTTTTGCCATCCATATGTCTTCTTTGGTGAAATGTTTATTCAAATCTTTTGTCTGGCCAGGTGTGGTGGCTCATGCCTGTAATCCCAGCAATTCGGGAGGCCGAGGCAGGCAGATCACGAGGTCAGGAGATCGAGACGATCCTGACTAACATGGTGAAACCCCGTTCTCTACTAAAAATGCAAAAAAATTAGCCGGTCGTGGTGGCGGGTGCCTGTAGTGCCAGCTACTCAGGAGGCCGAGGCAGGAGAATGGCGTGAACCTGGGAGGCGGAGCTTGTTGTGAGCCCAGATCACACCACTGCACTCCAGCCTGGGCAATAGAGTGAGACTCTGTCTCAGAAAAAAAAGAAAGAAAGAAAGAAAGAAATTAGCCAAGTGTGGTAGAACCAGCTCAGGATGCTGAGGCCAAAGAATGACTTGAGCCCAGGAATTTGAAGTTTCAGTGAGCTGGGATCGTGCTGCTGCACTCCAGCCTGGGCAGCAGAGAGAGACTGTCTCAAAAAAAATTTTTTTTAAATTTTCTTATTGTGTTTTGAGAGTTCTTTATATATTCTTGATACAAGTCTTTTATCAGATGTTTTATTTATTTATATTTTTTAACAGCTTTTAAAAACAGCTTTGAGATATAATTCACATACATCCTAATTCCCCTAAAGTGTGCGAATCAATGTTTTTTTCATATGTTCATAGAGTTGTGCAACTATCACCACAATAAATGTTAGAACATTTTTATCGCCCCAAAAGGAAACCCCACACCCATTTTCAGCCACTGAGCATTTTCCCCAATCCTAGGCAACCACTAATCTGACATTATGGATTTGCTTAATGACATTTCATATAAATGGAATCGTACAATTTGTGTTCTTTTGCAATTGGCTTCCTTCACTTAGCATAATGTTTTCAAGGTTCACCCATGTTGTAGTTTTTGTTAGAATTTCCTTTCTTTGTGGCCGGGCATGGTGGCTCACGCCTGTAATCCCAGCACTTTGTGAGGCCGAGGTGGGTGGATCACGAGGTCAGGAGATCGAGACCATCCTGGCTAACACGGTGAAACTCTGTCTCTACTAAAAATACAAAAAATTAGCCGGGTGTGGTGGTGGGCGCCTGTAGTCCTAGCTACTCAGGAGGCTGAGGCGGGAGAGTGGTGTGAACTTGGGAGGCGCAGCTTGTAGTGAGCCGAGATCGCCTCTGCACTGCAGCCTGGGTGACAGAGCGAGACTCTGTCTCAAAAAAAAAAAAAAAATTTCCTTTCTTGGTAAGTCTAAATAATATTCTATTGTGTAGATATACCACATTTTATTTTATCCATTCATTGACTGATGGACATTTGTATTATTTCTACATTTTGGCTTTTATGAATTACTTTGCTATGGAGAGTCATGTACACATTTTTATGTTGGACATGTGCTTTCATTTCTCTTGACTGTATAGCTAGGTGTGGATATTCTGAGTGTTATGGTTACTCAGTGTTTAACATCTTAGTGAACTGTCAAACCATTTTCTAAACCAGCTGTATCATTTTACATTCCCCCCAGCAGTGTAACACGGTTGAGGTTTCTCCACATCCTTAAGAACACTTGTTACATCTGTCTTTTTGAATATAGCCATCTTAGTGGATATGATTTGGTATTTCATTGTGGTTTTGATTTGCATTTTCCTTTTGGCTAATAACATCTTTTCATGTGCTTATTGGTCATTTGTATATATTCTCTGGATAAATGTCTACTTAAATTCTTTGTAATTTTAAAATTGGGTTGTCTTATTATTAGTGAGTTATCAGTGTTCTTTATGTATAGTTTCTCATCAGATATATGTTTGCAGATATTTTCTCCTAATCTGTCACTTGTCTTTTCATTCTCTTAATAGTGTCTTTTAAAGAGCAGTTGAATTTTGGATAAAATCCAATTTATCATTTATTTATTTTATGGATTGTGTCTTTTGTGTAGCATCTAAGAAATCTTTGATTAACTCACAGCCATACAAATTTATCTTATGTGTTTTCTTATGTTTTAAATGTTGGTTTTATGTTTAGGTCTATGATTATTTTGGGTTAATTTTTGCATATCAGTGATATGCAAAATATGGGGTTTAAAAAGAACATTCTGATGGTGATGAGAATAAGTTAGTTGGGGTATAGTAGCTATCAGGGTACTCTCTGAGGTGGTAGTTGTAGTAGGCCAGGTGAGGGATGACTGATAGTTTGGACTAGGGTGCTAAGAATGGAGATAAAGAAAAGTGGAGGGATTTTATAAATATTTAGGTGGTAAAAGAGCAGGACTTGATGATGAAATGAGTATTCAGAGTGATATAGAGCAACAGTAGGTCAAAGATGATGTTTAGCTTTCTAGCTTGTGCAACTGAGTGGCTGGTAGTGCTGCGCATTGAGGGGCAATGGCTGAGCATCAGTCTTGGGTGGGGAGGATCTTGCATTCACGTTTAGGCATATTGAATTTGAAAAGTCTGTGAGATCTCCAAGTGAAGGTGTAGAATAAGTAGTTTCACGGCTGGGCGCGGTGGCTCACGCCTGTAATCCCAGCACTTTCGGACACTGAGGCGGGCGGATCACGAGGTCAGGAGATTGAGACCATCCTGGCTAACATGGTGAAACCTCGTCTCTACTAAAAATACAAAAAAATTAGCCCGGCATGGTGGCAGGCACCTGTAGTCCCAGCTACTCGGGAGGCTGAGGCAGGAGAATGGTGTGAATCCGGGAGACGGAGCTTGCAGTGAGCCGAGATCACGCCACTGTACTCCAGGCTGGGTGAGACTCCATCTCAAAAAAAAAAAAAAAGGTAGTTTCACATAATGGTTTTGGAGTTGAGAGGTTGGGGTGATGATGTAAATTTTAGAGTTATTGCTCTACAGATGGTAACTGACGGCATGGGGAGAGATAAGTAAGATTGACTTCAGACACAGTACATGACAGAAGAAAAGAGAACCTAAGGCTGAGCCTGAGGCTCCCCAACATTTAAAGGTGGTTAGAGGAGGTTGATCCAGCAAATAAAACTAAAATGGGGTGGTATAGTAGGCAGAACCTTTAGGAATGGTCCCCAATATTCCGTGCCCTAATCCCTGGAATCTGTGAATGTGACATCACTCATCTGATTGTGTTAAGTTATAAAGCAGTGTTGATTTAAAAAAATGGAGTATCTTCATGGGTCTAATCTAATCAAATAAGTCCTTAAAGGCAAAGAATTTTCTATAGCTGATGGCAGAAGAATTCAGAGAGATCCTAAACATGAGAAGGGTTCCATGTGCCGCTGCTGACTGAAGATGGTGTGGTGCGTGTGAGAAGGAATATGGGAGCTGTAAGGGGCTGAGAGTGAGGCCCCTGGAGTCAGTAAAGAAATGGACCTCAGTCCTATGATCACAAGGGACTGGATTCTGCCAACAAACTGAATGAGCTTGCAAGTGACTTATTCCTAGAGCTTACAGAAAACAGCCCAACCAGACTGGGTACCTTGACTTCAGCCTTGTGAGACTCTCAGGAGAGAATCCAGTCAAGCCTGCCTTGAATTCTGACCTACAGAATGTGAGATAGTAATAACAATAGAGTGTTGTAAACTTCTGAGCTTTTCCCCCTCTTATGCAACAACTGAAAACTAATACAGTTAACAAGAGGTAGGAGGAAAAGCCAAGTGTGTTGAATAATCAACATTATAGAAAGAGTGTTTCTCAAGAAAGAGAAAATGGCCAACAGATTTGAATGCTGCTAAGAAATAAAAACAAAGAATTAACCCTACATATTAGGTTTAGGTACACAGATATAATTTGAAGAGGTTAACAAGACCTATTGCCTGGAGTGACGAGCCCTGAAATTTGGTTGGCATGGATTGAGAACACTGGGAGGTAAATTAAAGGAGATGGCAAGTATAGACATCTTTGGAACTTCCCTTCTTCTTGGTAGGAAAATAAGGTAATTATAAGGCAGTAAATTCCTCGAGGGTGTTGGAGGGTTGACTAGAAACTTTTTTTTTTCATTTGAGCATGATTAAAAATGAACAGGAAATATTAATAAAGAGGGAGAGGTTGAAGAGATAAGGCATATGGATGAGTTATTTTATTTGAGTTGATTTTGGTTTTCTCTTTTGTAAAATGAAGTGTTTTTGACTAGATGGATTCTACTTCTAGGGCTTTCATCTTCTGTGATTCTGGTCTTCACTTTTAGCTAAACTCTCAATCTTGCTTTGGCTCTTACAAGTCTTTGAGACTTCCTTTGCTTCAGTCACCCAACTTCTTTAACTGATGCCCCTTTTATATTATTTCGGCCAACACTCTCTCTCTCTAAACACATTCCAAATATTTGCTTCTATCTTTGCCTCTGTCCACATGTTAGAGCCTTTCTTCCTGCCCTCACCACACCTCAATTTCCCATTCCGTACTGACAGATTCATACACAAAACAAGCTTTCTTTCCTCCTTAGAGGTTAGCCTGTCTCCCACACTGTTCAAGGCCAGCTGTAGACTGAGCAGAACCTATTCTCCCTCCCTGAGTAACCTTCTCTATTAATGGTCTCTTCCATCTTCTGAATCTCAATCTCGCCCTCAAAACTGTTCAGATTCTTTTTGGCCTGAAAAATGTCTACATTTTTCCAATCCTTTAAAATTAATTTTAGTCTTTTAATCTTTTTTCCTTTTTTCTTCCAAACTTCTCAAAATTTAGTAAAACAATATGCTTATTATCTTTATTAACTCACTTTATAGTCACTTTTCAGCCCAATGCAATCTGTCTTCATACCTGACACATTTATTGAATTTGCTCTCATCATGGTTACCATGACCTCCTAATCATTTAAACTAATGAAAAAATTATAGTCCTAGTTTTATTGGAGACTTAATATTGAGTTATACACTATGAACTACTCACTCCTTCTTCAAATTTCCTCCTTTTGTGGCTGCAGAGAAGTAGTGCTCTTGTTTTCCCTATCACCTATTTCTTTTTATTCACTAAACATTATTTACTGAAGGCCTAGTATGTTCCAGTCATTATTCTATGCACCTGGAGTTCCACTTCCCATTGATTTTATATTTCAGTGGAAAAAAAGAGAAAATAAATAAATGTATTATATAGTACATTAGAAAGTAACAAGTGTCATTATTTATCCAAGTAGAGATATTAAGGTGTAGCATATAATTCGGGAAGATGCCTGAGTTGAAGACAATCATTTGAGCACAGACACTATAGATGTATTAAAGTCATGAGGCTGGATAAGACCACTTAGGAAGCAGTGAAAAATCACTATGAGAGAGTAAGAAGTTCCAGAGACGAATCCCTAGGGAACCCTACTGTTTAGAGGTTGAGTGAAGAAGAGAGAACATCAAAGAAGATGAGGAAGACTGAATGTAAAGTAAGGAGAAAACTAGGAGAGAATGTGACACTTGGAAGCCATATGAAAAAGGTTTCAAAAACTTCATTAAGTGTGATATAAACAGTGCTAATAGATCAAATGGTGCTAATAGATTGAGAGGAGAACTGAGGACTGACTATTGAATTTTGCTACATTGAGGTCATTGATAACTTTGACAAAAGCAATTTTCATGGGCTTGTAGTAAGAAAACTTGATTGGAATTGATTTAAGAGGGAATGGGAAGAAATCCGTGAGAGACAGTCAGGGTAGGCAACCCATTATCCCTTATAGGCTATGTTTATACTTATTCATCCTTAAACAGTGGACCTCTCTAGGTCTCATCTATTCTCTTTATACATTTGTGGCAGAGAAACGAGTGTCTACACAAAATATTGACTTCCAATATCCATTTTCCACTGCTACCAGTATGATAGCATTGTTAAATGAGCACATGGTCATTCAGAAGAAATAGTATGTTTTCTAGTTTCCTATACAGCTAGGTTGGCCATATGACAAGGGGGATGTAAGCAGCAGTTTTCTGAGTTAATATCCAGAAACCATTCTTAAAGACGGTTAGTGTGTGCCTTCCTTGTCTCTTACTAGTCCCTTTATTCATTTGTCTGCTGGAATACAGATGGGAGGGCAGAGCATTGAGTTGGAGGAAGACTAAGTTCCTGAGGACTTTGTGAAACACAGCTGCGCTGTCAGCCCTACACTGCCTACTTTTTACTTCTGCATGAATGAAAATCAATTTCTTGTTGAAATTACCATTATGTTGGATCTGCATTACTTCTCTCTCAACCCAATTCTAACTGTTATACATTTCCTGGGCAATATTGTTCACAGTTACTATTTCATTTGCTGTCTATTTTTCAAATAATTACCTAACCTCCATCTCTAGAGCAGACATCAACCTTCAGATATATTTCTTAAAATATTGAGTAGGCTTTCACTTTTAGCTTGATTAAATAGCTTTTAGTGAATCTGCTCTCTTTCTGCAAATAAATAAAAACTTCACCAAAATATACTAAACAACTGTTTTCAGATATTGTGTAATAGGAAGCACAGGCAAACAAACAGGAGTCCTAAGATTGCCCCAGGTTTCTGCCTGGAGCACATTCTGAACCACAGTTCAGAAAGAGAAACCTGTATAAGGTGGAGTGGTCTCTCTGAGTTAACAACACAGAGATAGGAGGTTGAGGAGGCCAAAGGAACTAACATGTATTATCCAGTAACTTACATAGGGTACCTTGAGCCTTGGTCTAAATACTTAACTTGTGCATGTATAGCATAAGGCTTCAAAATAGTAGATTTAAAAGCTATCAGCTAGCTGTAGCCTGCAAAATTTCTAGAGCTTGACTGGTTCTGGCAGATATTTGGGTTTCAACCAGCTACCATGGACAGAACTCATTGAACACTCAGGACATTCATTAGAAGTCCCAGAAGGATCATGTCTTAGTAGAAGGGATAAGATGTAGAGTGGAGGCTGTATAAACCCCATTTTAACAGAGTATAAAAACAAGCCTCAAAAGAATCAAGTGGATCTGCATATAACTAGTTGCCAGCTAAAGCAAAATTTAACACTTCTTAAAGGAATACAACAAAATCCAGACACATTCAATAATGCAACATTCACAATTCCAGTATTACTACACATGGGAAGAGGCAGGTAAATGTGATCTATAACATATCAATTAGTTAATAAACAGAATACAGAAATGACAGATGGGATGACGATGGTGGGTTAGCTGATAAGGACTTTAAAACAGCTTATTATAAATATGCTCAAGTGTTTAAAAGAAAACAGAAGCCTATTGAGGAAAGAAAAGAATAAATTGAAAATAACGAAATGGAATGTCTAGAGCTAAAAAATATCATGTGTGAAATAAAAATACACTGTACAGGCTTGTTAGTAGAATAGGTAATGCAGATGGAATGATAAATGAAATTTAAGATATAGTAATAGAAGCTAAACTGAAGCACAAAAAACAAAAAGTGCAAAGACCTTCAAGGACCTGTGATACGATATAACACATGTAATTGGAGCCCCATAACTAAAGTGAGCAAAAACAATACTTAAAAGAAATACGTGCTGAAAATTTAATGAAAATGTAATAAAAACCAAACTCCACAGACCCAAATGGCTTGGTGAACTCTGAACAGGATAAGCACACAAGAACACTATCCCAAGATGTACAATAATCACATTCCTGAAAACCAATGATAAAGGGATAACTTTAAAAGCAGGCACAGAAAGACCCAATGCATTCAGAGAAAGAAAGGTTACAATTATTGATGATTATAATGCAAGTCCATGATAAAAAGCAAAGCAAAATAAAGGAAAACTATCAATCTAGAATTGACAATAATTTTCAGCAAAATAACTTTCAAAAATGAAAGTAAACTTTTGATTCTGGCCAACATGGAGTAGCAGAGACTGGATTTTTCCTTCTGCTGGAAACAACTAAAAAACCCACAAAATATATGAAATAATGGTTTTCAAGTAATTGGACAGCAGTTAAAAAGGACAGTGAGCCTTGAGAAATGGAAGAAAACCAAGGTGAGCCCTCTGATTGCCCCAGATTACTGTCTTGAGAGAGTTTCCAGCATGGCACAGGAAGGAGGAACACAAGAACAGCCTAAGAACCTCCTCGAGTTGAATGGATGAAGGTGAGAGTCTGGGGAAGCCAAGGCAGCTAGAGTTTTCAGGACAGAGTACAGAGAAGAAAGAGTTGTACAGAGAGAAAACCCTAGAGACCTGTAGAATGACCCTGGTTGGATGGCTTGCAATTGTGTATTGACTAAGTGAGATATCATTAGATTATTGAACAGATTTTTTGTTTCTAAAATGAATATTACTTTAAGTTGATAAATCATAATTGTATATTTTTATGGGGCAAAATGTGATATTTTGATATATGTATACAATAGGGGATGATTCCATCAAGCACATTAATATATCTATCACTTCACTTTCTCATCATTTTTTGTGATGGGGCATTTGCAATTTACTCTCAGCGATTAACTATGGTCACCCTGTTGTACAATAGATCTCAAAAACTTATTCCTTCTGTTTAATTGAAACTTTGTACTCTTTGACCAACATCTCTTCAATAACCCCCATCTTAGTCCCGCCCTAGTATCTGGTAACCTCCGTCCTACTCTCTATTTCTATGAGTTTAACTTAAAAATTTTTCATATAAGTGAGATTATGCAGTATTTTTCCTTTTGTGCCTGGCTTATTTCACTTAGCATTATGTCCTCCACATTCATCTGTGTTGTCACAAATGAAAGCATATCCTTCTTTTTTAAGGCTGAATATTATTTCATGTATATATATATATATATATATATTACATTTTCTTTATTCACTCATCTGTTTATGAACACTTAGATTGGTTTCATCTATTGTAAATAATACATCAATGAATATGGGAGTGCAGATATTTCTCTAACTTATTGATTTCACTTCTTGTGGATATATAACTAGAAGTGGGATTGTTGAATCATATGGTAGTTCTGTTGCTTTTAGTTTTTTGAGGGACCTCCATACTGTCTTCTAACATGGCTGTATTAATTTACATTCCCAGCAACAGCCTACAAGACTTTCCTTTTTTTCACATCCTCACCAACACTTATCTTTCATTTATCTGCTAATAGCCATTCTAACAGGTGTGAGGGGATAGCTCATTGTAATTTTAATTTGCATTTTCCTGATGATTAGAATATTTCCCTGATGATTGAGCATTGATGACAACAATTAAAGAAGACACAAATAAATTAGAAAAATCCCATGTTCATGGACTGGAAGAACTGATGCTGTTAAAATATCCCTACTACCCAAAGTGATCTACAGATTCAATGCAATTCTTATCAAAATTCTAATATCATTTTCACAGAAATAGAAAAAAACCCCCAAATTCATATACAACCAGAAAAGACTGTGAATAGCCAAACAATTTTGAGTTAAAATAACAAAACTGGAGGCATCACAGTTTCTGATTTTAAAAATATATTATAAAGATATTATAATCAAAACAACATGGTACTGGCATTACAACAGACAAATTGGCCAATGGAACAGGATAAAAAGCCCAGAAATAAACCGAAGTATTTAGGGTCAATTGATTTTCAACAAAAGTGCCAAGAATGCGTAATGGGGAAAGAACAATCTCTTCAATAAATGGTATTGGGAAAACTGGATATCCACATTCAGAAGAATAAAATTGGACCTTTATACTCACACCATAAAAAAAAATCAATTCAAAACGGATAAAAGACTTAAACGTAAGACTTGAAACGGCAAGGCTACCAGAAGAAAACATAGGGAAAAGCTCCATGACACTGGTCTGGGCAATGATTTATTGGGTAGAACTCCGAAAGCACGGGCAACAATAGCAAAATTAGACAAATGGATTCCATTAAGTTAAAAAGCTTCTGTGCAGTAAAGGAAGAAATTAACAGAGTGAAGAGACAACCTATGGATTAGGAGAAAATATTTGCAATCCATACATCTGCTAGGGAGCTAATATCCAAAATATATAGTCGTGTATAAATCAGTTGCTTAATGATGGAGCTACATTCTAATAAATGCATCATTAGGTGGTTTCAGTTGTGGGAACACCATAAAGTGTACTTACACAAACGTAGACAATATAGTCTACTGCACACCTAAGCTATATGGTATGGCCTATTGCTCAAAGGCTATAAACCTGTACAGCATGTTAATGTACTGAATACTATAGACAGCTGTAACATAATTATAAGAATTTGTGTAACTAAACAAATCTGAAGTAGTAAAGGTACAGTAAAAATAAAGTATAAAAATTAAAAATGGTACACCTGTATAAAGCCCTTACCATGAACGGAACTTGCAGAAATAGCTTACTATGAACTGAAAGTTGCTCTGAGTGAGTCAGTGAGTGAGCGGTGAGTGAATGAGAGGGCCTAGGATTGCTATACACTACAGTAGACTTTATAAATACTATACACTTAGGCTACACTAAACTTACAAAAAATATTTTTCTTTCTTCAACAATGAACTTAGCTTACTGTGACTTTTTACTTTATAAACTTTTTATTTTTTTGCAAACCTTTTGACTCTTTTATAATATTTAGCTTAAAACCCAAACATTCTAAAGCTGTACATAACATTTTCTTATATCCTTATTCTATAAGCTTTTTTCTATGTAAAATTTCTTTTTCTTTATTTTTTAGTTTGTAAACTTTTTGTTAAAAATGAAGACACAAACACACACACATTAGCCCAGTCCTACGTAGGGTTAGGATAAGCAATATCACTTTCTTCCACCTCCACACCTGGTCCCACTGGAAGGTCTTCAGGGACAATAACATGCATGGAGGTGTCATCTCCTAGGATAACAAGGCTTTCTTCTGGAATGCATCCTGAAGGACATGCCTGAGTCTGTTTTATATTAAATTAAAAAAATATGACAAATGAATACATTCTAAAATAACAATCTATAGTAAACACATAAGCCAGTAATGCAGTCATTTATGATTATTAGCAAGTATTCTGTATTATAGATAACTGTGTGTGCTATACTTTTATATGGCTGGCTGTGAAGTAGGTTTGTTGACAGCAGCATCACCACATACATGTGAAGAATGAGTTCTGCCAGGATATTAGGACAGCTACAACGTCAGCAGGCGATAGGATTTTTCAGCTCCATTATAATCTTATGGGACCACCGTCATACGTGTGGCCTGTCATTGTCAGAAATGTCTTTATATGATGCATGACCATATAAGGAACTCAAACAACTCAATAGCAAGAAAACAAATAATCTGATTTAAAAATGGGCAAGGGATCCAAACAGACATTTCTCAAAAGGAGAGATACAAATGAACTTTTCTGCATTTTTTTCTACTCAAAATGCTCTAATAATTTCCCCTCTAGTTCAAAGTAAAAAGCAGAATCCTAATAGTGCACAGGATTTGCCCTTGCTTGCTTCTGTCCCCATCGCTTCATAATTTTTCCTTAGCTGCTCCCTCCAGCCACATGGCATACTTGCTGTCCCTTAAGCCCTCAGGCACAGTCCCATCTCAGGGCATTCTCACCTGTTGTTCCTTCTGCCTGGAATGACCTGCCTTGAACGTGCACATGGCTTGCCACCCACTTCCTTCAGGTCTTCAGCAAACCGACATCAAACATGTATACCTATGTAACAAACCCCAGAACTTAAAGTATAATAAAAAAAAATAAAAACTCTTTTTTCTTTACTTTTATCTGACTGGATTAGTTCAAAAACTGGTCTTCAAGCTCTAGCTCAGACTTTTTCTTCTTCTTGGTCCAGTCTATTGATAAAGGTTTCAGTTTTATTTTGAAATGCCTTAAGTGAGTTTTTCAAATCTAGAAACTCTGACTGATTTCTTTTTAAGATGTTTATCTCTTCCTTCATTTCCTAGATTGCTTTAGAAGTATTTTTTTTCTTTTTTTTAAAAACTATACTTTAAGTTCTAGGGTACAAGTGCACAACGTGCAGGTTTGTTACATAGGTATACATAAGCCATGTTGGTGTGCTGCACCCGTTAACTCGTCATTTACATTAGGTACTTCTCCTAATGCTATCCCTCCCCCTGCTCCCCACCCCACGAGAGGCCCCAGTGTGTGATGTTCCCCACCCTGTGTCCAAGTGTTCTCATTGTTCAATTCCCACCTATGAGTGAGAACATGCGGTGTTTGGTTTTCTGTCCTTGTGATAGTTTGCTGAGAATGATGGTTTCCAGCTTCATCCATGTCCTTGCAAAGGACATGAACTCAACCTTTTTTATGGCTGCATAGTATTCCATGTTGTATATGTACCACATTTTCTTAATCCAGTCTATCATTGATGAACATTTGGGTTGGCTCCAAGTCTTTGCTATTGTGAATAGTGCCACAATAAACATATGTGTGCATGTGTCTTTATAGCATGATTTATAATCCTTTGGGTATATACCCAGTAATGGGATCAATGGGTCAAATGGGTCTAGATCCTTGAGGAATCGCCACACTGTCTTCCACAATGGTTGAACTAGTTTACAGTCCCACCAACAATGTAAAAGTGTTCCTATTTCTCCACATCCTCTCCAGCATCTATTGTTTCCTGACTTTTTAATGATCACCATTCTAACTGGTGTGAGATGGTATCTCATTGTGGTTTTGATTTGCATTTCTCTTATGGCCAGTGATGATGAGCATTTTTTCACATGTCTGTCTGTTGGCTGCATAAATGTCTTCTTTTGAGAAGTTTCTGTTCATATCCTTTGCCCACTTTTTGATGGGGTTGTTTGTTTTTTTCTTGTAAATTTGTTTAAGTTGTTTGTAGATTCTGGATATTAGCCCTTTGTCAGACGAGTAGATTGCAAAAACTTTCTCCCATTCTGTAGGTTGCCTGTTCACTCTGATGGTAGCTTCTTTTGCTGTGCAGAAGCTCTTTGGTTTAATTAGATCCTATTTGTCTATTTTGGCTTTTGTTGCCATTGCTTTTGGTGTTTTAGTCATGAAGTTCTTGCCCATGCCTATGTCCTGAATGGTGTTGCCTAGGTTTTCTTCTAGAGTTTTTATGGTTTTAGGTCTTACATTTAAGTCTTTAATCCATCTTGAATTAATGTTTGTATAAGGTGGAAGGAAGGGATCCAGTTTCAGTTTTTACATATGACTAGCCAGTTTTCCACATATGACTAGCCAGTTTTCCCAGCACCATTTATTAAATAGAGAATTCTTTCCCCATTTCTTGTTTTTGTCAGGTTTGTCAAAGATCAGAAGGTTGTAGATGTGTGGTATTGTTTCTGAGGGCTCTTTTCTGTTCCATTGGTCTACATCTCTGTTTTGGTAACAGTACCATGCTGTTTTGGTTACTGTAGCCTTGTAGTATAGTTTGAAGTCAGGTAGCGTGATGCTTCCAGCTTTGTTCTTTTGGCTTAGGATTGTCTTGGCAATGCAGGCTCTTTTTTGGTTCCATATGAACTTTAAAGTAGTTTTTTCCAATTCTGTGAAGAAAGTCATTGGTAGCTTGATGGGGATGGCATTGAATCTATAAATTACCTTGGGCAGTATGGCCATTTTCACGCTATTGATTCTTCCTACCCATGAGCATGGAATGTTCTTCCATTTGTTTGTGTCCTCTTTTATTTCATTGAGCAGTGGTTTGTAGTTCTCCTTGAAGAGGTCCTTCACATCCCTTGTAAGTTGGATTCCTAGGTATTTTACTCTCTTTGTAGCAATTGTGAATGGGAGTTCATTCATGATTTGGCTCTTTGTTTGTCTGTTATTGGTGTATAAGAATGCTTGTGATTTTTGCACATTGATTTGATATCCTGAGACTTTGCTGAAGTTGCTTATCAGCTTAAGGAGATTTTGGGCTAAGATGATGGGGTTTTCTAAATATACAATCATGTGATCTGCAAACAGGGACAATTTGACTTCCTCTTTTCTTAATTGAATACCCTTCATTTCTTTCTCTTGCCTGATTGCCCTGGCCAGAACTTCCAACACTATGTTGAATAGGAGTGGTGAGAGAGGGCATCCCTGTCTTGTGCCAGTTTTCAAAAGGAATGCTTCCAGTTTTTGCCCATTCAGTATGATATTGGCTGTGGGTTTGTCATAAATAGCTCTTATTATTTTGAGATAACGTCCCATCAATACCTAATTTATTGAGAGTTTTTAGCATGATGGGCTGTTGAATTTTGTCGAAGGCCTTTTCTGCATCTATTGAGATAATCATGTGTTGTTTGTCGATGGTTCCGTTTATGTGATGGATTACGTTTATTGATTTGCATATGTTGAACCAGCCTTGCATCCCAAGGATGAAGCTGAGTTGATCGTGGTGGATAGCTTTTTGATGTGCTGCTGGATTTGGTTTGCCAGTATTTTATTGAGGATTTTCACGTCGATGTTCATCAGGGATATTGGTCTAAAATTCTCTTTTTTTGTTGCATCTGTGCCAGGCTTTGGTATCAGAACGATGCTGGCCTCATAAAATGAGTTAGGATTCCCTGTTTTTCTATTGATTGGAATAGTTTCAGAAGGAATGGTACCAGCTCCTCTCTGTACCTCTGGTAGAATTCGGCTGTGAATCCATCTGGTCCTGGACTTTTTTTGGTTGGTAGGCTATTAATTATTGCCTCAATTTCAGAGCCTGTTATTGATCTATTCAAAAATTCAATTTCTTCCGGAGCATGTGTGTGTCCAGGAATTTATCCATTTCTTCTAGATTTTCTAGTTTATTTGAGTAGAGGTGTTTATAGTATTCTCTGATGGTAGTTTGTATTCCTGTGGGATTGTTGGTGATATCCCCTTTATCATTTTTTATTGTGTCTATTTGATTCTTCTCTCTTTTCTACTTTATTAGTCTTGCTAGCGGTCTATCAGTTTTGTTGACCTTTTCAAAAAACAAGTTCCTGGATTCATTGATTTTTTGAGGGTTTTTTGTGTCTCTATCTCCTTTAGTTCTGCTCTGATCTTAGTTATTTCTTACCTTCTGCTAGCTTTTGAATTTGTTTGGCCTTGCTTCTCTAGTTCTTTTAATTGTGATGTTAGGGTGTCAATTTTAGATCTTGCCTGCTTTCTCTTGTGGGCATTTAGTGCTATAAATTTCCCTGTACACACTGCTTTAAATGTGTCCCAGAGATTCTGGTACATTGTGTTTTTTTTCTCATTGGTTTCAAAGAACATCTTTATTTCTGCCTTCATTTTGTTGTTTACCCAGTAGTCATTCAGGAGCAGGTTGTTCAGTTTCCATGTAGTTGTGTGGTTTTAAGTGAGTTTCTTAATCCTGAGTTCTAATTTGATTGCACTGTGGTCTGAAAGACAGTTTGTTGTGATTTCTGTTCTTTTACATTTGCTGAGGAGTGCTTTACTTCCAACTATGTGGTCAATTTTGGAATAAGTGCGATGTGGTGCTGAGAAGAATGTCTATTCTGTTGATTTGGGGTGGAGAGTTCTGTAGATGTCTATTAGGTCCACTTGGTGCAGAGCTGAGTTCAAGTCCTGGATATCCTTGTTAATCTTATGTCTCGTTGATCTGTCTAATATTAACAGTGGGGTGTTAAAGTCTCCCATTATTATTGTGTGGGAATCTAAGTCTCTTTGTAGGTCACTCAGGACTTGCTTTATGAATCTGGGTGCTCCTGTATTGGGTGCATATATATTTAGGATAGTTAGCTCTTCTTGTTGAATTGATCCCTTTACTGTTATGTAATGGCCTTCTTTGTCTCTTCTGATCTTTGTTGGTTTAAAGTCTGTTTTATCAGAGACTAGGATTGCAACCCCTGCTTTTTTTTGCTTTCCATTTGCTTGGTAGATCTTCCTCCATCCCTCTATTTGAGCCTGTCTCTGCATGTGAGATGGGTGTCCTGAATACAGCACACTGATGGGTCTTGACTCTTTATCCAATTTGCCAGTCTGTGTCTTTTAATTGGAACATTTAGCCCATTTACATTTAAGGTTAATATTTTTATGTGTGAATTTGATCCTGTCATTATGATGTTAGCTGGTTATTTTGCTTGTTAGTTGATGCAGTTTCTTCCTAGCATCAATGGTCTTTACAATTTGGCTGTTTTTGCAGTGTCTGGTACCAGTTGTTCCTTTCCATGTTTAGTGCTCTTTTAGGGCAGGCCTGGTGATGACAAAATCTCTCAGCATTTGCTTGTCTGTAAAGGGTTTTATTTCTTCTTCACTTATGAAGCTTAGTTTGGCTGGATATGAAATTCTGGGTTGAAAATTCTTTTCTTTAGGAATGTTGGATATTGGCCCCCACTCTCATCTGGCTTGTGGAGTTTCTGCTGAGAGATCTGCTGTTAGTCTGTTGGACTTCCTTTTGTGGGTAACCTGACCTTTCTCTCTGGCTGCCCTTAACATTTTTTTCCTTCATTTCAATCTTGGTGAATCTGACAATTATGTGTCTTGGGGTTGCTCTTCTCGAGGAGTATCTTTGTGGTGTTCTCTGTATTTCCCGAATTTCAGTGTTGGCCTGCCTTGCTAGATTGGGGAAGTTCTCCTGGATAATATCCTGAAGAGTGTTTTCCAACTTGGTTCCATTCTCCCCATCACTTTCAGGTACACCAATCAAATGTAGATTTGGTCTTTTCACATAGTCCCATATTTCTTGGAGGCTTTGTTCATTTCTTTTTACTTTTTTTCTCTAAACTTCTCTTCTCACTTTATCTCATTAATTTGATCTTCAATCACTGATACACTTTCTTCCTCTTGATTGAATCGGCTGTTGAAGATTGTGCATGCATCACGTAGTTCTCATGCCATGGTTTTCAGCTCCATCAGGTCATTTAAGGTGTTCTCTACACTGTTTATTCTAGTTAGCCATTCATCTAATCTTTTTTCAAGGTTTTTAGCTTCCTTGTGATGGGTTTGAACATCCTCCTTTAGCTCAGAGAAGTTTGTTATTACTGACCTTGTGAAGTCTACTTCTGTCAGGTCATCAAAGTCATTCTCCATCCAGCTTTGTTTCATTGCTGGTCCTCACCAGCTGTCGTCCTTTGGAGGAGAAGAGGCGCTCTGGTTTTTAGAATTTTCAACTTTTCTGCTCTGGTTTCTCTCCATCTTTGTGGTTTTATCTACCTTTGGTTTTTGATGTTGGCAGCCTACAGATGGGGTTTTGGTGTGGATGTGCTTTTTGTTGATGTTGATGCTATTCTTTTCTGTTTGTTAGTTTTCCTTCTAATAGTCAGGTCCCTCAGCTGCAGGTCTGTTGGAGTTTGCTGGAGGTCCACTCCAGACCCTATTTGCCTGGGTATCACCAGCAGAGGCTGCAGAACAGCAAATATTGCTGCCTGATCCTTCCTCTGGAAGTTTCATCCCAGAGGGGCATCCGCCTGTATGAGGTGTTAGTTGGCCCCTACTGGGAAGTGTCTCCCAGTTAGGCTACATGGGGGTCAGGGACCCACTCGAGGAGGCAGTCTTTCCATTCTCAGAGCTCATGCACCATGCCGGGAGAACCACTGCTCTGTTAAGAGCTGTCAGACAGGGATGTTTAAGTCTGCAGAAGTTTCTGCTGCCTTTTGTTCAGCTATGCCCTGCCCCCAGAGGTGGAATCTACAGAGGCAACAGACCTTGCTGAACTGTGGTGGGCTCTGCCCACTTTGAGCTTCCCCAGCTGCTTTGTTTACCTACTCAAGCCTCAGCAATGGCGGACACCTCCCTCTCCTGCCAGGTTGCTGCCTCGCAGGTTGACCTCAGATTGCTGCGCTAGCAGTGAGCAAGGCTCCGTGGGTGTGGGACCTGCTGAGCCACATGCGGGATATAATCTCCTGGTGTGCTGTTTGCTAAGACCATTGGAAAAGCACAGTATTTGGGAGAGAGTGTCCTGATTTTCCAGGTACAGTCTGTCACGGCTTCCCTTGGCTAGGAAAGGGAAATCCCGTGACCCCTTGCACTTCCTGGATGAGGCAATGACCCACCCTGCTTCAGCTTGCCCTCTGTGGGCTGCACCCACTGTCCAACCAGTCCTATTGAGATGAACCAGGTACCTCAGTTGGAAATGCAGAAATCACCCGTCTTCTGCATCAATCACACTGGGAACTGCAGACCGGTGCTGTTCCTATTCGGCCATCTTGGAAGAGAATCCTTTAGAAGTTTCTTTGTGTTGATTTTCAACCTTGTCCTGGAGCTCATTGAGCTTCCTTGCAATCCATACTCTGAATTCTTTATCTGTCATTTCCGAGTTTCCATTTTGATTACAGACCATTGCTGTAGATCCAGTGTGATCATTTGGTGGTGTCACTACATTCAGATTTTTTGTGCTGGTTCCTTCTCATCTGGAGACCTTGGCACTTCTAATATTTGTAATTATTTTAGTGTGGGTAGGAGTTTTTCTTTTTATTTCCCTATAATAGTATTATTTTTTCTTTCCCTTTTCCCCCCTCCCTAGGGGGTGTAACTGTAGAGAATGCTGGGTAGGGTCTTTTGGCTTTCCTTCTATAGCCCTCTGCACTTCTTTCAGCAAGTTTTTTTTTTTTTTAATTTATAAAGAACAGAAATATATTTCTCACAGTTCTGGAGGATGGGAAATCTAAGATCAATGATCTGGCACTTGTTCGACTAGGGCTTTCTTGCTGTGTTCTCACATACAGAAAGCAAGCTAGCAGGATGCTCCCTGAAGGCTCTTTTATAAGGGCCTTAATCCCAGTCCTGAGAGAGAACCCCTTGTGGCCCAGTGACCTCTTAAAGGCCCCACCTCTTGATGCTATTGTATTGGCAACACTTGAATTTGAGGGGACACATTCAAGTCATGGCAAACTGAACATTTCCCTTTTGCCAGACAGCACCACGTTCTTTGTCAGTAGGTGGTGGTAGAGGGACACTGCAGAATAAAGGGGCTTCTCTTGCTTCTCCTCTTGCTTCTAAGAGGATGCTGTGACAGTTAATTTTAGGTGTCAATGTGGCTGGGCCACAGGGTGCCCAACTATTTGGTCATATATTTTTTTAAAATTTTAGATATTTAACTTTTGCTCTGACTTTCCAGTTATAAGGTCAAACTTTATTCTGGGTGTTTCTGTGAGGGTGTTTTTACATGAGATTGACATTTAAATCAGTGAACTTTGAATAACGCAGACTGCCCTCCTCGATGTTAGTGGGCTTGATCCAGTCAGTTGAAGGGCTGAAGAGAAAAAAGACTGTCCTCTTCCAAGAAAAAGAGAATCCTCCAACAGATACCTTTGGACTGGACCCGCACCATCAGCTTTCCTGGGTTGCCAGCCTCTTGCCTCACACTCCAGGTTTTGGACTTGTTAGACTTAATAATAATCACAGAAGCCAATCCCTTTAAGGTAGTTTCTCTGGAGAACCTTGACAAACACAAACATCTACTGAGAGTTCCTGTCCAAGTTTTGCTCACACCCTAGCAGGAGGCTCCTGGCTTACCAGTCCTGAGGGTGTGAGGTTGTTTGCTTGCAAGACCTGATCCACTAGCTGCACAGCAGCTCTGGCCCAGGGCAAGGCAGGGAACTACCCTATCACTGAGTAGTGAGTAGTCACACTCTTTCCATTAGGTCTGACTTCACCATGGGGAAGAGGAGCCCCTTCCAAGGATATTCTTTCCTTGGGTACTCAGTCCTAGGACATTGTAGCTCTTTTTTATCCTTCTTAATAGCTAATACCATTATCAGTTAAAAGTTTTTTTATATTAAAATTATCCCTGTTCAAGTTAATGGTATGGTTTCTGTCTCCTGGCTGGGTATTAGGATATAATATTTACTGTCATATTTCTACCACTTTATGTTTAAAGTTTTTCATAATGAAGATTTAAACTGAATTTTTGATAATTCATTAAATATTTACATAGAACAGGACAAAGGATGATTTTCCTTTGTCTACTTACTGTAAAGAAGCGTCCAAGATTTACCACCACATCATGATTACAGATGGTCACCAGCTTATGATGGTTTTAGGATTTTTTGACTTTATGATGGGTTTATCGGCCTGTAGCCCCATTTCAAGCTGAGGAGCTCCTTAGGACTTATGAATCATACCTCTTTCACACCACGGTAAAGTTGGAAAATTGTTAAGTCAAGCTGTCATTAAGTAGGAGACTGCTGTGTTGCTAATGTTATATGTATTTTTGACTTATGATGGGTTTATTGGGAATTAACCACAATGTAAATTGAGGACCATCTGTATATTGTGTGATTTTTACTAATGCATTGAAAGAGATCTGTGTAAATTATCTATGACTTCAGAATACGCATATTTCTTCCAACTGTGTTAACTCATGTTTTTTAAGAGAATAATGGTATTTTTACACTATGTGGATGTGCTGTAGTAGAATTTTTCTAAGCTACAAAAGTGTATGAATAAAAAATCAACTTAAACTTTTTGGGAAATAATTTCTACTAAAGATTCATAATCAGCATATTTCTTCAATGACTGTACAAGTTCATCCAGTAGATAATCTCCTTGCATAACAGTTTCAAGATCATGCAGTGACTTGCTTATTCTGTGATCTGTGACCTGGTTCTGTGGAAAATTATATGTTCTTATTTTCTCTGATCTTCCTTTACTTCCAATCTGAATTTTTCTAGCATCGTGTCTTTTATTCATTTCTTCTTCTAGATACATGTTGTACAGTTTTACACATAACTTTTTCATAGCCAGCTCTTTATTTTTTCGGGTGAGATCTCTCTTGTTGGCATTCAGAAACACCTGAATAGTGTTACAAGAATTAAAAAGTTTTAATAGAAAAATCTTCTTTACTTATTTTCAAGGAATACTCCTTTTCCTTCTCATCCTTTTTCTTCTTCCGTTGGAAGATGAACTATCCGGACAGCACTGTCCATGGTATTTACATGCTGCCCCCGCAGCTCCACTGGCTCGCTTAGTGTTGATTCTCAAATCTTTTGGATTAGTCACCAGATTAATCTCAGTAGGTTGGGGCAATACTGCTTACAGTCATGGTGCTAGCATGGATGCAGCCTTGCTTTTCTGTCTTTGGCACTCTTTGTACTCTGTGCACACCTCCTTCAAATTTCATGTGCCTCACATATGTTTATTGCGACACTTTTTACAATAGCAAAGACTCGGAACCAACCCAAATGTCCATCAATGATAGACTGGATAAAGAAAATGTGGCACATATACACCATGGAATACTATGCAGCCATAAAAAAGGATGAGTTCATGTCCTTTGTAGGGACATGGATGAAGCTGGAAACCATCATTCTCAGCAAACTATCGCAAGAACAAAAAACCAAACACCACATGTTCTCACTTACAGGTGGGAATTGAACAATGAGAACACCTGGACACAGGAAGGGGAACATCACACACTGGGGCCTGTTGTGGGGTGGGAGAAGGGGGGAGGGAAAGCATTAGGAGATATACCTAATGTAAATGATGAGTTAATGGGTGCAGCACACCAACATGGCACATGTCTGCATATGTAATAAGCCTGCACCTTGTGCACATGTACCCTAGAACTTAAAGTATAATAATAATTAAAAAAAACAAATTTCATGTGCCTATAGGCTTCTGAACCCCCAATACTGGCAGATACATGTCTAAGTCCACCTATTTCACTTGGAAAATATTCCAGGGTCTCAAAATGCCATCTTTTAAATGCAGCTTATTGCTGACACATATCAAATATCTCTGAAGTAAACAACATTGCCTCCTGTCTTCCAACTCCTGCAGTTACTTGCAGGATCAGATCATTTTCATCTGTTTCTTCTGATGCTTCAACTGAGTTATTTCTTTTTGACACAAAGTTATTTCATTCTCTGCACATTTCCTTAAATTTTCATCCTCATCGTGCAGCAAGCTCTTGGTCTCCCGCAGCTCCTGCTCCTTCTCGTTCAGCAGCTTGACCACCGCCACCACCTCGGGCCTCCTGACCTTCAAATGGGCTTCAGACCCTGCCTGGTGCTTGAGGAAGGTCCACAAGAGCCCGCCCCAGGCGAACAGCCTCTCCAGCAGCGGGCTACCTCAGCTCAGGGTCCGTCCGCCTGGGCCAACGGCCCCTGTGGGACCAGAGCCACCAGGCAGAGCCCTCGGCAAGTTTTATATCGCACTGTGCAGTTTGATCTACAAGCCAGTAGATGGTGCTTATAGGTAAGAGCTGGTGCAGCCAGTGTGGCTGGGTATATACTTGATCCTTGTTTACTAGCAGAAGCTCTGTGTTGCCCTAGACAATGAACTGATTCGTGGAATGCATAGTGGTCTGAGCTCCCTGCTTAGCCCCTGGGGGGAGGTGGTGCTCATTGGGGGTACACCTGCAGGTCCCATGATGGCAGGCACAAGCACCTGTGCTGAGGGAGAATCCAGTGGGTGGCCACCAAGCACCCAGAGATGTGGCTAGGTGTGGAGCTGGAAAACTTCCTCAGTCCCCTATTCTCTGTATGGTGATGCGGGGACAACCTGAACTCTAATCCAGGAAAGTGGATGCTCCAGATGCCCGGAGATCCGCCTGGGTGTGTAGCAGAGGACTCCTCTGCACCAGGGTCACTGCACAGAAACAGTGGGGCAGGTCAGGCTTCTTATCAAGTTGAGTGGGTGTTCCAAATGCCTGGAGATCTACCTGAGTGTGGAGGAGAGAGGGCCCCCTGCACCAAGATCTCTGCACAAGAGGGGTGAGGAGACTCAGGCTGCTGATCTGGGCAAGCCGGTGCTCTGAATGCCTGGAGATCTGCCTGGGTGTAGAGCAGTGAAGACCTTGCTGCACCACAGTCTATGTCCAGGATGGATGGGGCAGCTTAGGCTGCTGGTCCCGGCCAAGTGTGCTCTGAATGCCTGGATTTCTGTCTGGGGTGGAGTGGAGAGGGCCCTGCTACACCATGATCTCAGAGGAGCAGTCTGGGCACCCAGCAATGGCATATGCAGGGGGGTTCCAGGTTGCCAAGATGGCCCTGGCTGAAGTCTTGCTGCCCACATAAAACTGCAGCTGTAGCAGCTTTTCTTCTGCCCCAGACCTGTGATGGGGGAGAATACAATTCTAGCACCTACTGCTGAGGCACTTTGCACAGTTCTGACTGTGGAGGCTCCTACCCTACTCCAGAGCAGGTGCTCCAATCTCTTACCCAAGACTAAAATGCCTGCGCAGTCATGCTACCGGGTCAGCAAAGAATGGGTGACTTTGTATGTGCCTAGATTAAAAATGGCATCCTGATCTCAGTCCTGAGTCTGGGAATATGTCTGTAGCTTTTCCCATTCCTATTCCTTCACAGTGGCTTCAAACCTCTCCCCAACTTAGTTCCACAGCTTGAGAGAAACAAAGTGCTCTCCCTCGGCCTGTCTTTCTCGGATCCCCACGGAAATGTGACTTACAGAGGGAGGTTCTCTTTCTCTCTCACGTACTGGGGCTTCACTTACTTTTATCAGCCATACACTGTCATGGGGGCTGTTTGCCGGCGTTCTCCTCCCTGGGATTTGGAATGTCCTTCACAATTCTGGTGGATTCCCATTTTCCTTCTTGAATTAAGCTCACAGAGTTGATCTTTATGCACTGTCTTGCTATTTCCAAGTGGCTGAGCACACACTAAAAGGCTTTAATCCACCATCTTGAAAAAAAATTGTCTTTTCTTATAAGGACATAAGTTATATGTCCTTATATGTCCATCGTAAGTCATGGATTTAGGGCTCACTCTAATCCAGCATGACTTCTTTTTAGCTAAATACATCTGCAAGGGCTCTATTTCCAAATAAGGGCACATTCTGAGGTTCTGGATGAATGTAAATTTCCAAGTAAACTTTGTTGACTTCAGGGGCCATGTGCGTAAATGAGTATGTGAATAGGTGTGTGTGTGTGTGTGTGTGTGTGTATGTGTATTGGGTGTGGTTGGGAAGTTGCTGGAAGACTGAGACATGGGGGTATCCCACT
Organism: Homo sapiens; assembly: GCF_000001405.40. Classification (NCBI taxonomy): domain Eukaryota; kingdom Metazoa; phylum Chordata; class Mammalia; order Primates; family Hominidae; genus Homo; species Homo sapiens. Next base: position 2,263 of record NW_019805494.1, on the reverse strand, counting down.
GTAGTCATTTAAAACACTATTCTGGTCATTTATATAAAAGCTGAGCTGCTGTAACTGGGCTTGCAGGCTACCAGTTTGGGATCCTTCCTGGGCCAGAGAAACACATTTGAATTTGTTCCAAGTGAAATTAAGTCATGGAGACTCTGACTGCTAGAGGCAGGGGGTGGGTGGGGGGAGGGACTGGATTGGAAGGGAGCCTGCATGGAGGTAAGTATGACATCCAGGAAGTTTCTCTAATCGTCCACGCACAGTATGGAATACTTTAAAAGACAGGAGCTTGAAAAGTAAGTGTATTGAATTCTAGTTTCAATAGATACCAGGAATACCTTGGAGGTAATTAAAACAAACTTTATTCGTATATCCGATCACATCTTTCTGGGTTATCTATAAAATGACAGTGACTAGTAATATTTTTCTAGTAAATTTCCAATATATGCCAGAAGGTGGCAGCATTGTCAAACAGCAGGATGCTTGGTGCTGCCTGCCACTCTCCTTTATATGCTTCCGGACCTACTGAATTCAAGGCCATCTCCTCTCTCTCACACCCTGCCCTCCTGCCTCCCCTCTTCCATGTCTTTCTCCTTGCTGGGTTAACATGGAGTGGGCTGGGAGAAGTGGGGCATCAACTGAGGGCCTAACACTGGTCTCCTTTTATATTAATATCAGAATAGAACCTCCTTCTTGAAACACTACATTGATTGTATTAAATGTCTCCCTTAAAAATCTCTGGGAGGTAAGACCAGAATGATGAGGAACTTAGAACAATTGTCAATATTTCAGAAAAGCCATGCCTTGGTAAAATGTCAACTGCTTATGCTAGGATCATTATGGATTCTGTGATAAATCTGATTGTCTCATGTTGAGCAAAGACCTGGGTTGGGAGTTTCAAATATTTTTCCATAAGCAGAGGAATATTCTCTTTAAATAAATTCAGCCAGGCAATTAAAGTCTTTCAAAACATTGGAATCTTGGTTAACACATAAGAAAGCAGGGGTGGTGAGAATCTTGGGATTCATTATCTTGGTGGATACAAAGTTCTTCTTCATTTAAAAGACTGTATTGATTAGGGCAGCAGGGCTAACCAGAAAAACCTGGGTTTGGAGTTGGGCCGATCCCTAACTTTGCAACCTCCGGTAAATAATTCAAAATCTTTGAGCTTCATTTTCCCCAGCGCATTGGATTGCTATTGACATAAATTAAATAGTGTATATAAAGAACCTAGTATAGTGCTAGCACATAGTTGATGCCCAACAAGCTTTTCTTGAATCAATGGAACTAACAGCAATAGTAATATTGAGTTTTAGAGGCCTGCTGTGTACCTGATATTGTGGTCGTGGCGAGACTCAAAAGCAACAAATGGAAAGAAGAGAAGAATATGATTTTCTGATCTGGGACATTTAAATTACTATTTTTAATTTTTAGATCTTGGGCAATCGAACACATTTGAAACTGCTCCCTGGCTCTGGAGGGGGGTGATAAGTAACTGAGATGCCAGGCCACATGCCACTTTTCTTACATACCTCACAGCATGTGGCAGAGTACACAATATCAACTCTGGAAATTGAGCTGTTAGAAAGAAAAGAACGCATGAGTGTGTCTTTGATTTGAATACAGGTAGTCAGTTCATTACCTGAGGTTCCAGGGAGGATAAATCTTGCCTTTAATCTATACCAGCTTTATTGTCAGGGAACAGGACAGGGACGTGCTGCCATTATTCACCATCACTTATTTGAGGACACTTATTTAGCCTGTACTCCAACAGATAGTCTAATAAGATACTTGATGGAGAGAGGGCATGTGTGAATGTGAATGTGGAAAATGGTGGCCCCATGGTCTTCCTCTTGAGCTTTCTCAGGCTAGCAGAGGACAGGAGCAATCACAACAGCTCAAGTTAGAAAGGGGCTGAAGGGTTAACTTGTTCAACTGGCCTTGTATTCTCAAATTCCTTTTATGATATTGCTTCAGGAGCACTTCAAGAAAACCTCCAAGTAGAGCTTGAGATCTTAGTCCCTCTGTGCCACCTTGCAATGCCTTTTTCTTCTCATGAGAAGCTGGGCTCCTCAAACTATGCCCTTTGTTAATTGTTATTTCTTTGAATACTTCAAGGCCCTGTATTCCTTCTATAGGTAGCTCCCTCCCACCCCAGTAAGGGAGGAGGATTATGTGAATTCTAATAACATTTTTTTCCATAATTTCCAATAGTTCCTTTTTGGATAATTATGCTATCTAACGCTTTTTCGCTAAAAAGTATCATTTTTTTGAA
>NW_025791784.1:0-106905 GCF_000001405.40 Homo sapiens | reverse complement strand
GTCTTGCTCTGTCGCCCAGGCTGGAGTGCAGTGGCATGATCTCAGCTCACTGCAACCTCCCCCTCCCAGGTTCAAGCAATTCTTCTGCCTCAGCCTCCCCAGTGGCTGGGACTACAGGCGTGTGCCACCACACCCAGCTAATTTTTGTACTTTTAGTAGAGACGGGGTTTCACCATATTGGCCAGGCTGGTCTTGAACTCCTGACCTCATGATCCGCCCGCCGCGGCCTCCCAAAGTGCTGGGATTAGAAGCATGAGCCACCGTTCCCGGCCTCATAGGCTGTTATTTTTTTAAATTGCTACCATAATCAAAGCCCACCGAGCAAGTTTGGTCAAACACAATGTGTCTCAATCTGGTGTCTCCCGACTTCTGTTCACCATCCTACACGAGAGTTGAGAACATTCTGAGGTGGTCTGCAGCCCTCTGTGTTTTGTTATTAGAACATCATAGAATAGATCGAGAGACTAGAAGTAGCCCTCTAGACCAGCCCTGAGTCATGTGACCCAACAAGGCCCACAATTGGCCATGCTGTTTGGCTGCTTGCAGAGGAAAAGCAAGGGTTTACAGCTTTCCAGAGCTTCCCTGCTGGTGGACTCGTATCATACACACATTAAGTATATCTGGATTAATTTTGCACTAGCCAGCATTTTAAAATAGAAGAGAAAACTCACAGTTTTCATAGTGCTGGTGGCACCCAGCCTTCCCTCTGTAAGCCGTTGGCCACAGGTGGTGGGTCTCTGTGAACAGAGCACCTGCCCTGAGGCAGATTCCAGGAGAGAATGGGAGAATGTTTTTACAGGTTTCTTGTCTACTAAAAACACATGAAACCAGTGGCTCAGGTGGCCAGATTAATGTATGGTGATGATTACTCCTACATCCTTGAGGAAGAAATTGAAGGCATGGTAAAGAATTATTCTGAGGGGTGGAGGTAGTGACTACATGGAAGAATGGGTGAGTGGGTCACCTTGAAAATATGCTGAAACACCCAGGCGCTGTGGCTCATGTCTGTAATCCCAGCACTTTGGGAGGCTGAGGTGGGAGGATCACTTGAGGCCAGGAGTTCAAGACCGTCTGGCCAATAAAGCAAGACCCAATCTTTATAAAAAAAAATTGAAAAACTAGCTGGGCATGGTGGTGCACGCTGGTAGTCCCAGCTGCTTAAGAGGCTGAGGCTGCAATGAGCTATGATCATTCCACTGCACTCCAGCCTGAGTGACAGAGCAAGACTCTGTCTCCAAAAAGGAGAAAATTATGCAGAGACTTCTCAAGCAGCAAATTTCTTATATATAGTAGTTCCCCCTTCTCCTCAGGGGATATGTTCCAAGACCCCCCGTGGATGCCTAAAACTGCAGATAGTACCCGAACCTTACATATACTGTGGTTTTTCCCATGCATACATGTCTATGGTAAAGTTTAATACATAATTTAGGCACAGTAAGAGATTAACAACAATAATAATAGAACAATTATAACAATATACTGTAATAAAAGTCATGCGAATGTAGTCTCTTTCTCTCTTTCAAAATACCGTATTTTACCACACCATGGGTAGCTGAAACTTTGGAAAGCAAAACCACAGAGGAGGGGCCAGTGTAGTATAATCGTTGGGTAGCACCCCTCCGTGGACTTAGATACATACTATCTACACATTTGTACTCACTTGACTGATGAGAGTTATATACACAAAGCTGTCCATACTGTATTTACTGGCCATCTAAGGCATTTTCAAGGGTGATCTTTGACTATAATTTTCTCATAATGTGCTAACTTAGAACTTATTCCCTGTCTGAGAAGTGACTTTTCCTTACTAAAATCTGACTACCTTTTCTATTGGGATGTGCTTTAAGCCTGATTGCCTCTTGCTCCAAATTAAACTTTCTCCTCTGCTTATGAGTGAAAAATACAGAATATGTTCCTACATCCAAGGCAATTTTCCCTGACCCTTTCTTTCTTCAGACCAAATGGTTCATTGCATTTAATGTTCTCTACATCACTAAGAGGGATAGATGGAAACTGCAGGGCCCTTCCTGCGAGGCGGTGGGGCAGAGAATAGGTTCAGTGTTAAGGGAATTAGGCAGTGTGGCTCAACCCTGCCTCTGTACCATTCTTTCTGTGACCTTAGGTGAGTCCCTTGACTTCTCTAGGACTTGGTCTCCATTGAAACATGAGCAGATTGGCCCAATTGGATAACCCCTTCCAGCTCTAACATTTTGTGTTGAAACTATTAAACAGACATTTATCAAGCACCTGCTGTATACACACATGACATTGTACTAGGGGCTGTGCTGGGAAAGACCAAAATCCTGCCCTGAAGAAGTTTAGGAAGTATCTCTCTGGTTTGAGTGATAGGTAAGGCCCCTGCATAGGCAGCCCAAGGTGGAAGCTCATGAGCTGGTGTCCCCTGCTGTCACCCTGCTGTCCCCACCTACAGATCAGATTTGTAGTAGCTGCTCCTTTGGACACAGTGCCTCTTGGTCCATGTTTATCTTTTAGGGCAGCAGGCTTCTTTTGCAAGAGGCCATGGTCTGGGGGCCATACTCTGTGTCACACTACTCTGCCATTGTAGGGAGAACTGGTACAGGCAATATGGTAAATAAATGGATTTGGCTGTGTTCTAATAAAACTTTATTTGCAAAGATGGTTTGCTGACCATGTGTTAGTCATTCAAAAGACTAACACCCTGTCTTAAACTCCAGAAGTGGTTGCCTGCACCTAACTGGGGTCTGTGGACCTGGCCAGATAATTCCTAAACATGGGCCAGGCTCCGCATAGACCCCACTTTCAGTTTTTCATCATCAGAGACCTGTCTGGAGGTCTTGTTATTACTGGGCTTGTTCTACAGCAAGAGCATTCAAGACTCTCCACTAGAGAGTCAAAGGAACTGCCAAGGATTCCCATGGGCCCCCAGAGCCAGGAGAGCGGATGCTTGCCACCTTTGTCTTTAGGAGCAGATCCTTCTATCCAGACAGAGGCTCTTTGATTGAGATTGACCCAACAAAGCCAGCCCGTGCCCGTTTTTGGAAACACCCACAGGCTCTTACCTTGTTTCCACATCTCTTAGCCTCTTCAGAATGTTCTGCAAGGAAAGAATGCTGTCTGGCTCTGTGTTCCAGGGTTGTGTTGGCAGAAGAGTTGGTGGGGGTTGTGCAGTGTGAGAAGGCAAGTCATGAAGAGTTGCCCCAGGACATTTTCCTTGTCAGGAATAAGCCAGGCTAAATGTGCCCTTTGGGCATTGAAAATTGGAAATGGCTGGTCCTAGAAAAACAGCTGCCTTAAATCCTTTTGGGGCATGAATAAATACTTTTTTTACATCCTGGAAAATTGTGGTTTTGACTCCAGCAAGGACCCCAGGGAGGAGGGGCACTTGTTCCAGAAGCTGGTATTTCAGCAAGCCGTGCTTGGGTCTCTGTTTTTTGCAGGGAGAGGTGATATCCAGCCTCAGTTGGACAGTGCTCTCCAAGATGTCAATGATAAGTATCTCTTATTGGAAGAAACAGAAAAGCAGGCTGTCCGGAAGGCTTTGATTGAAGAACGTGGCCGATTCTGTACCTTCATCTCTATGCTGCGGCCAGTGATTGTAAGTTAATGGAAAACTCCAGAAGGTTTAAACTGCTGGTGTAGAGGTGGCTTCCTTCTAATTTTATCCATCCACTGTTGAGTCATGGAGAATCTACTGTCAGGAATCATGATGGTGGTATCTCCTGTACAGACCAGCGATTCAGTGCAAGTTGATGGCCATGTAGCTCACTCCTCATTCACTGTTCTAGTACCACTTGTTCCCCGTTACTTTGTCTCACCAAGTCAAGAAGGCCCAGCAGGGTGGTTCTCAAAGTGAGGTCCCCAGGTCAGCAGCATCACGTGGGAACTGGCTAGAAATGCAAGTTCTTGGGCCCAACCCAGACCCACCAAGTCCAAACCTCTGGGGGTGGGGACCCAGTCGTCTGTGTTTTAAAGGAGCACTCCAGGTGGTTTTGAGACTCACTGTTGTAGCCGAGTACTAAGGGGTGACCATGAGATGAATATCCAAGAGCCTCAATGAATCAATTTAGACTTAATTTTTAAGGAAATCATTTGCATGCCGTAATTGAGAACTTGCACTGCAGGCGTTCTGGAAGCTGATTCGAAGGTACCAGCTCATTTCCCTTAGCCCTAGCAAAATGTCTGAATTTGAGTTGTTCCCCTGAGCACAGAACTTTTCCATGGATCGTTCTAGCCCGGCCCGTGGTCCCAACTTGGCACTTCGATAAAGCACATGGGATGTTTCTTCCATGGTCCCCAGCTCCTGTCTTACTTGTCTTTTACTAAGTTGCTGGAAAAGCACAAGAAAGAAGGGGAAAAGTTAGCTTCTGTTGAACACACAGGCACTGTCACAAAGATCTGGACCAAAATATATCCAAGTCGTGTCATCCATTGAAGCTAAGCAACTTCAGAAAAGGGCCACAGTATGAAGAGGGCTGTGCTGCAGGATCCCGTGGGAACACACAGTCAGACCATCTGAGCAGGCCTGGCAGTCCCCCAGGCCCTGGGAGGGAGGCCTGTGTGTTCCCCACTGTCCCCTGTGCACAGGTCACTCCTCCATTATGGCAGATTTCTTTTTCCATCTCATTTCCCAAAAGAAAAGGCATGTAGTGCCTTCAGCAAAGATTTGCCAGTCCCAACAGTGCCTTTTCTGAAAAACTGAAAGGGTTATACAGAGACCCTAATGAAAACAATTGGACTAGAGCGATGAAGGGAATCACTCATGATAATAACATTTCATGAATGACTTTTCCTTCAGGAAGAAGAAATCTCAATGCTAGGGGAAATAACCCACCTTCAGACCATCTCGGAAGATCTAAAAAGCCTGACCATGGACCCTCACAAACTGCCCTCCTCAAGTGAACAGGTAGGCTTCAGGGGTTAAGCACTTACAGGATCAAACCAAAGAGGTAAAAGCTCAAGGCCCTGAGTGTTCCTGTGGCATGTGTCACGTCTTAAATTGTAGTCATATTCACCACGTCCTTCATGATGTAATATATGAAATCACCACAGCGAGCTGTTACATAGAACCTATTGTGTGTCAGGCACTGTCCCAAGCTCTTTACATAGCCTGACTTCCTCCATTCATCTTCATGATTATGCTTGTTTTATAGAGAATGATGCAGAGGCACTGAGAGATGGAGTCACTTAGCCAGGTTCAGCTAGCTAGCAGGTAGTGGAACTGATATTTGAACCAAGTTGGTCAGGTTCCAGATCCCATGCACTTAATTGCTGTGTTCATCTGCCCTCTAGAAGTCAACCCTCCTAAGAACACGTCGCTGGTGTGTTTTGATTGACACTGTCAACCATTCTCCATTTCTCCCATTCTAATTGAGCAATGCATGGAGAGCTCTCTCATCTTATGAAAAAGATGACATTTTTATGCTTTATTCATTTAATTCACATCACACGCACACTATGGGAAGAGACATATTTGGGGGAACTGATGAATCACATGCTGGCTTTTGTGCTTGGTAACAATCTTTTCGTCTCCTTGGAGAGCTGGCTCAGAGGGCAAATTTGGGAGCTCATGTTTTCTATTCTATCAAATTATATTTATTAGACCAGAGCATGCATGCATTCACTTGACAAATAAACATTTACTGAGTGCTTCTTATGTGAATGAAAGGTGGACCTTATACTCATGTGGTCCTTTGTCAAGCAACGGAGACAGATATAGAAATAATGGTGAAAGAATTGGCTTGTTCTTGATTCTGTCAGGCTTTAAAATTTCTAGTGCTGGTCAAATAGGGCAGAAATGACCACTGAATATCAAGTGGTTAAAATGCGCTACCAACAAGTCTGGGAACCATGATTAACTTTATGGCATTACAAGAGGAAAATCCTGTAAATTCTAGCCTTGGGTATAAATGGCTGTTATAAATTATTAATTGGTCACTGTATTTCTCCCTCTCTCGACTGATATTTCATGATTTTCCTTTTCCCTTCCTTTCCTTCTCCCTATTAATTATAGTTTTACTTTCTCAGTAAAAGGATTATGATATTGATGGATTTGGTACTGTGGCTCTTCAATTTAAAAAAAATTTTTTTAACATGTTTTGCTTTCATTCCCACCCCCACGATGGCAGCGTTTTGATGCTTTGGTGGATGTTAAGCTTTGATGGCTAACGCTTCCCCTCTCAGCACCTCATTCACCCAGCTGGCTCTGTCCCCTTAGGTGATTCTGGACTTGAAAGGTTCTGATTACAGCTGGTCGTATCAGACGCCACCCTCTTCCCCCAGCACCACCATGTCCAGAAAGTCCAGTGTCTGCAGGTGAGTGAAGCCGGGGTCCACTCTTGCTTTCAGGACGGGTCATTTTTCTTTATGCTAATGTGAGCAATGGAGCCAGTCCTTATCTCTTAGAATGGCTCATTCTCAAACAGGAAATGGGATGATGAGCTGAAAGAATGGTAATAATTTTGGTCTTGCTCTTTAGTCTCTGGATTAATTTTGGATCAGAAAGAAAACCCCATTAGCCCTTGACTTGTGGATGTAGCTTATTCTCTCTCACTTGTATGTTGTAGGGATTTTCCTATTCTATGAGATCACATTTGATTTTCCTGTTTAGCAGAGTGAAAACCTTCTAAGGCCTAAAAAATGGTGAACCTGGGTTGATTTTTACACAGGCTGATCTCACTGTTGCCAGAACAAACGAAGGAAGTAACAATGGCTTATGCCCTCATTTCACCCCATATTTTTGTTTCAGGGTTTCATAAAGTAAATAGAGTTCTTGCTCTGTCAGTCACTGCTACTACTACCACCACTACCACGACCACACCTGTATTAATTAGTACTGTTCCCTATTGGAACAAAATCTGTTGGAATAGTTCTGCCATCTGCAAAACTGTTGTCTAGCAATTTTCTGTTAGAAGTCAGTTCTTGGCTTGCCGAGTAGGAAAGTTTCTTTTCCTCTCCTTGAAAGATGGAAGCATGATGTACCATCTATCTCTCTTGGTATAGTAGTCCTGTTACTCTTTTAATTTAACTTTCAAAGCCAAATGAGTTTCCACTTCCTGTGTATTAGCACTGAGAGTAGAGGGCAGGATGTATCTGCTCAATCTGTCTGTGGTGATGTTTTGGTGCACGCTGATGCCTATTTCCTTTCACTGCGGAGCTTGTACACTACACACTTAGCAGGAAGTTCAGACCTAAGACGCTGCATCCTGGACATTCTGCCCCCTGAAGATATTGGTTTGTTTCTTATCTTCTGTCGACTGTGTGTGTGTGTGTGTGTGTGTGTGTGAGTGAAAGAGAGACCTTTTTATTGTTGCCAAGAAAAATCTCTCATTAGTGTAAAACAAAGTTGCGTGGCTGTTTTTTTCTTCCTTATAATTTTAGTTTGAGTAGAAAACCATGTTGCACTGACATCTGCAACTCTGAGGCTGCCGGGGTGGAGTTGCTGTGAGCTTTACTGTCGGTCCCCAACTGCCGCCTTCTGGCTGACTGGAGGGGAAAGTCAAAAATCATGATATTTATTCCTCACTGCAGCGATTTCCTCCAGCACGCTCCCCTATGTCTGTCTGAACATTTGCACCAAGTAATTCTAGTGTAGAACAGTCACGCGGCCCTTGAGTACCTTATTAGCTGCCAGATTTTGCAAGCCAGAGTCTCTTGCAGGCTTAGGAGCAGAAACCATGACTTTTCCTATCCCAGCCCTAGTTATTTACTTCATCCCTGCTGCTGCCTCTACAACTGCTCTTTTTATTTCAGCTCCGTTTGTTTGGACCATGGGAGTCTGTTTTCTGCTTTTTATGATCTAAGTTACTATACAGAGTGTGGAGCATTTTTTTTTTTTTTTTTTTTTTGAGATCGGGTCTCGTTCTGTTGTCCAGGTGGAGTGCAGTGGCATAATCTCAGCTCGCTGCAACTTCTGCCTCCTGGGTTCAAGTGATTCTCCTGCCTTGGCCTCCCAAGTAGCTGCGATTATAGGTGCCTGCCACCATGCCTGGCTAAGTTTTGTATTTTTATCAGAGGCGGGGTTTCACCGTATTGGCCAGGCTAGTCTTGAACTCCTGACTTCAGGTGATCCACCCGCTTTGGCCTTCTGAAGTGTTGGGATTACAGGCGTAAGCCACCGCACCTGGCCAGGAGCATGTTTCTTTTGAGTGGAGATGGAAGGCAGACAGAAATCCAGAGCGGGTGTGTCATTATTTGACATCCTGTTTACTGTGCCATTTCAAGAGCAAACAGCTGAGCATTGATTGCCCTTAGTCGCTGAAAGCTGCCTGCCTCTTGCCAAGTGTGCTATTGTGCCAGACCCACAGATATTTTAACACAGAAACAGCTGGGGTCAGAGTAAAAACATTAATTAAAGCATCACTTTGTTAAAAGGTAAAACATATGCACACCAACATAGTGAGTTGATTTGCTGATGTTCTTGACAGCGGGCTTGACCAGACTCAGCTAGGATGAAATCACCTCAGCAAATCCATCGGCAGTGCTTAGCTGGGTTGGCCTTGGTCATGTGGACCCAGATGGTCCATCCAAGAACATTCCAGTCATGCTGAAGCCCCAGTGGACTTTTGCTGCAGGCTCATGGTTCCTGCAGGCAGATTAACCCTGTCCCTTTTCTTGCTACTGACATCAGCTCCCCTCGTTTTGGTGGTAGGCGAAGCAGCAGAGTTGGGCGCACTTGACGTTTTAGAACCCCAGACCTCCCTCGTAAGAATGCCACATGGTTACCATCGGAGACCTGAGTCCTGGCAGCTGTATTTCCCCCTGGGTCACCTGGAAAAGCATTTTGTTGACTACCTTCATGATTTGGTGTTTTGAAAACGTGTTTTGTGGTTTGCACTGCATCTCCAGGGCAGAGAGCTAATTGCATTATGTTGTGCTTCTCTCTCTTCTGCCTCATCTGTTCCCCTCCTTCCTCCTTCCTCTTACCACTGCTCCCCTTTCTTTACCTTCCGTGCCCACCCCTCACCCCTGCTTGTCCTCCACAGCAGCCTGAACAGTGTCAACAGCAGTGACTCCCGGTCCAGCGGCTCCCACTCGCATTCCCCCAGCTCACATTACCGCTACCGCAGCTCCAACCTGGCCCAGCAGGCTCCTGTGAGGCTGTCCAGCGTGTCCTCCCATGACTCAGGATTCATATCCCAGGATGCCTTCCAGTCCAAGTCACCATCCCCCATGCCGCCAGAGGCCCCCAACCAGGTAAGGGTGCCCTTGGCTCCAGGAGCAGCTGTCACACCTGGTGTCCTGACCACTGTCAGTGGCCAGAACCAAAGAAGCACCTTGGCTTAGACAATCCCCTGCCCACTGACTTGAGAAACCTCTGGTTTAATTTCTCATCTTTAGATGTATTGTTCCCCTAAAGGGAGAGGTGCTATAAGTGGGTTTGAAGCCTGTCTCCATGGTGGTAATGGTTGCATTACCACATCGATTTGGGGAGCTCTCACGTAAGTAGATGGATTGAAAGAGGTTTGACCACTCTCAGGCGTCCCTGTAAGTGCCCAGCTTGGCATAATTAAATGCTATAATTAAAGGGCATTGCACAATGGGGACACCTCCTCCCCCACATCTCAGGTTCTCCCTGAATGGCTGAGATTCTATGGTTGAATAGCGCTTCCGATACCATCCCTTGGCGCTCTCAGGTTCCTTTTATCAATCTGTGTTGAGAATGAGAATGAATCATCAGAGCTTCTGCACATAATTCTGTTGGCACTTAGATTCTGGAAGGGAAGGTGTGGCAGAATCTCTTCAACTACAGCTGGGTTTAATGGTGCTAGGCCCAGCCCAGCCCAGTGGTTCCAGCTGGAGCAGAACGCAGGAGCTGGCCAGGGCATCTGAACACTCTTCATGTGCATCATCAATGTATGTGATCCTCTCTCTGTCCTCTCTCCCTTAGTGTCATTGGGTTGGTGTCGGCCTTGAACTTGGCAAGTAGCTCTACATACAGAATGCTGGGTGCCCCACAGCCCCACCTGCTGGGAAACCCATGTCAGAGCTCTGCGTTCCTCTCCTCACAGCTCAGCGCTCCCATTAGCATTTTTCAGCCATCCTGGGGACTGTGGCCTCTGTCTGCCTTCCTTGGATACACACTCAATTTTAAACGCACTCAGAGCCAAGAGCCACGGCTATAGTTTGAGAGTGCTTGAGAGTGCGTGTCCCACCTGGGGTGCTTGGCTTGGTCTGTAAGGAGCTCCTCTTCCCCGCTGTGTGCTTCACTAAACCATATGTGCTGCTCACAAGCAGAGAGGGCAAAGGGTCGGGAGGAGGGCTGGAATGTGCAGTTCCTCCGGGCTGTTCTAGTGTGCAGCATAATTGTGTGTGTGTGTTTAATTGACAAATTAACATAGTAGTGTGCACTGACGCCCCTTTCTGAAAAGGAGAAGCCACGTGCTGCAGCCTTCCCTTCCAAGACTGTGAGTGTGGATGGGGTAGAACAGAGTGTTTCCCATGGCATGGAGGGAAGCAGAAGAGGGCATATTGGGTTTACTTAAATCTGAAAACCTGTGCCCAAGACATGCGTGGCTAGCAACTCTAGGGTAGCTTTTTGTTTTGTCATGTTATGTTTTTAAGACAGTCTCGCTTTGTCACCCCAGGCTGGAGTGCAGTGGTGCAATGTTGGCTCACTGTAACCTCCACCTCCTGGGTTCAAGCGATTCTCCTGCCTCAGCCTCCCAAGTAGCTGGGATTACAGGCACGCGCCACCATTCCCAGCTAACTTTTGTATTTTTAGTAGAGGTGGGCTTTTGCCAGGCTGGTCAGGCTGACCTCAGGTGATCCGCCCACCTCGGTCTCCCAAAATTCTGGAATTACAGGCATGAGCCACCGCGCCCGGCCACTAGGGTAGTTTTAATGAGCTCAGGGATGCTACAAAACTTAATAGAGAATTCTTATTTTTTAAGAAAGGCATTACGACTGCTTATTATTATAAGGTAAAGGGGAAATTGAAGGTCATTGTACAGATCACATTAGCCAGAGGGTACAATCTCCTGAAGGCAGTAACCTCCCCTTTATTAGGGAGAAAGGGGGCATACATCTAGGAGGCGCAGGAGCCCTTCATTTCTCTACTGAGTAACACAGGTCTGAGATGAAAGCCGAGTGATGGAATTTGTTCAGAATTCTCTGGTTTACCTCCCTCCACTCTTCAAATTGTGCCCTCACCCATCTGTGCCCAGGAGTGGGGCCATGTCTTCAATGAGGGTCTCACCCTAGAGCCATTTATTCCATCTGAGTCAAGAGGTTCTTTATAAAAAATGAGCATAATTCCAAAGAAATCTGAACCTGCAGTCCTGCGGTGGGTTACTGTTTTGTTGTTTTATTTTTGTTCGTTTTTTTTGAGACAGGGTCTCACTCTGTTGCCCAGGATGAAGTGCAGTGGCGGGATCATAGGTCACTGTAACCTTGAACTCCTGGATTCAGGCAATTCTCCTACCTCAGCCTACCAAGTAGCTGGGACTATAGGCATGTGCCACCATGCTTGGCTAATTTTATTTTAGATTTGAGAATACATGTGCCTTGCATACTGGTGAGGATTGGGCTTCTATTTCCATTACCCAAATAGTGAGCATTGTCTCTGATAGGCAATTTTTCAACCCTCACTCCTTTCCTCTTTTACATTTTTTATTTTTTGTAGAGATGAGGTCTTGCTATCTTGCCCAGGCTGTTCTCCAATTCCTAGCCTCAAGCAGTCTTCCTGCCTTGGCCTCCCAAAGTGCCAGGATTACAGGCATGAGCCACCACATCTGGCTGTTTTTTGTTGATAAAGCCCTCTAAACCTCAAATTTTTTAAGTTCAGTTTCTCGACTGGGAATTGGCACAAATGTGACTTAAATCCAAACCTTCCATCTTCAAATCCTGGGCTGCTAACCAGACACTGAGCTCAGAGTGCAGCTGGGATGTCCGTCCACCGTGGAGTCTCTCCTTGCTTTGGGTCCACTGAGCCCCACACATTGTTGAGTGTCTGATTGTCTCCTTGCCCTTACAGGACAGGAAAGCGAAATCTCTGTTCCTTTGTAGGGACCTTTCTTTTGTAGGTGAAAGGGACAGAAATATGATTCTGGCCTCCTTGATGGTGAATACAGGAACACTTTCAGATAAATTACAATAGAGAGGAGTCAGCTTATTTAAACAAACTGAGGTTAAGCCAGAGATTGCAGTTAACAGTGAAAAAATTTAAAGCAAGTACCTGGATGGATGCAAAGCAGTGCCCAGGAGACCCAACTTACGTGACAGAGATGATCATTGTCACTCATTCATTATGTTTTGAGCACCAGCCATGTGCCAGGTCCAGAACTAGAAGAAACTTGGGTGTAGGTGAGATCATAGGAACAGTCCCTGCCCCAGCTGAACATCAGGAAGCCAGACTGGGAGCGCATGCCGTGGCTGACTAGGACTCCAGCAGGGACCTGGGGTTCCATCAGATCAGTGTAAAGCGATGGTTTCCCAAATGAGACCTCTCCAGAGATGGTTCATTCCACCCCACAATGGCCACCAGAAACATTGTGCTGACCAGAGGGCTTCACTGCCCCAAACCCCAAAATCACACTCCAGGATGAGAAACCTAAAAGTCTGTCTTGATGAGGCTTCATAGCTGGAAACCACCCCTCATGGATCCACAGGCTGCATTTGATGAAAGGAGACTCCAGGAAGTCGAGCCATTCCAGGCAGACATGTAGCAAAAGCCCGAGCTGGGGTCCGCCCTCATGCAATAAATAACACCTATGCACATAAGAGAGGTGACAGGCGGGGCCTCCCTGGGGACCTGGGCCTGTGGCACGTGAAGAAACACCCAAGAGAGCACGAAGTCCCAATGCCATGACCAGATATTTCGGTGCCAGGCATGCTTCTGGGTCCCAGCAAAAGACACACAAATCCGTGTCCTTGGGGACCCACAGTCTAGTGACCTAGGGCTGGCCGGGTCGCACGCTTCTTTTCAAGGGCTCGAAAGCCTCTGCATGGATGCAACTTTGGGGGAAAAGTAACCCTAACCCTCTGCTTCTCTCATCCTCCCCTCTTCTGTGTATATGTCTGTCTCTTTCTCTCTGTGTGTGCCCTTCCCCACTCCCATCCCCATTCCTTTTTTTATTTATTATATTTTGGTGGTGTGTGGCTCGGTTTCTGTTGGTCCCCTCGTGTGGCCCCTCCCCTGCTGCAGAACTCGTCCAGCTCGGCCTCCTCCGAAGCCTCGGAAACCTGCCAGTCAGTGAGCGAGTGCAGCTCCCCCACCTCTGTCAGCTCGGGCTCCACCATGGGTGCCTGGGTGTCCACAGAGAAGGTGACCGCCCGGGTGGCAGCCACAGCGGCCCCACTCTCCCTGGTCCCCCTGCCTGCTGCTCAGACAGCCCTCACAGCCGCGGCAACCTGGAAGCTCAGAATCGACACCAAGAGTGGGGCTCCTCTTGGGGACAGAGGGTGGGACAAGGCTGAGGGCATTTTCTAGAATGAGTGCCTGGCTGCTGGACAATGACCACATGGTTGTCTCAAGGGAGAGGAAGGGGTATGGGGAATTTGGAGGTGTGAAGGCTTTCTCCCAGACCAGGTGTTGCGTGCCTGTCCATCCTCCTCCCTCCCTTCCCGAGCCACCCACCAGACCGTTGGATGAGCCATGTCACTGTGTCAGAGGCTGTGTGCTTTTCCGCTTTTTAGTTTGCACCCCCACCCCCCTGCCCTTGATTGAGAATGTGCTCCTGAGCAATGCGATGATTTTGGAAACCTAGAATGAACAGATTCATTTGAAGATGCTTTGGAATTTTTAAATTTGCATAATGAAATGAGCAAATCACTATCACCATTAAATGAGGCTTCATTAGTTACATTATCAAAAACCATTGACAAGGCCACAAATTGAGGGCACTGATCAATTTCCAAACTTCTAAAACGTAGGTCAAACATAGATGCTTATTTGCTGTCA
The DNA here is from genome assembly GCF_000001405.40 of Homo sapiens. NCBI lineage: Eukaryota > Metazoa > Chordata > Mammalia > Primates > Hominidae > Homo > Homo sapiens. The sequence continues at coordinate 93,026 of NW_025791784.1, read as the reverse complement.
AACTCATGTGCATTCTTTGCACCCCGGCTCTTTTCTCTTGCATCACAGATCATCCGTGAGCAGCAGAGCCCCAATGTTTGTTTTATTTATAAATATTCAGGTTTCCCCTCCCTTGAATGTCAATGCCATTTTGTATCTCCGCACTCATCCTGTTATATTAATTTTTTTTCCTTCCCCCCCCCTTTTTTTGTTTGTTTCCAGTTGTCTAACGGGTTTTCTCACTATAGTTTATCAAGTGAGTCCCACGTGGGGCCCACGGGTGCAGGCCTTTTCCCTCATTGCCTGCCTGCCTCCCGCCTGCTCCCTCGGGTCACCTCTGTCCACCTTCCAGACTACGCTCATTATTACACCATTGGGCCCGGCATGTTCCCGTCATCTCAGATCCCTAGCTGGAAGGTTTGTGTCTCTCCCCCTCCTCCTCTCCCCGTCATTGCCTCTGTGCTCACCCCTCTTCTGTTCCAACCCCCTCACCCCGACTATCCCCTCATCCCCTTCCTTTCACACTCTGCCTTCTTCCCCATAATGCCTCTCCCTCAGGAAACTCCCATTGGGGGAGAAGCAGAAAGCAGCCGGCAGCTCTAAGACAGCAATTTCCACAGGTAGCTGGGGCTGAGGGTCTTCCTTCAGGGGACTTTGGTCAATCCCTGATGGACGGCAGTGCAGTGTGCACCGCAGGCAGCGGCAATTCCAAGTCCAAAGGCCCAGTTTTGCATCAAGTTGAAATCTATGGGTTGGTCCCTCCCGGGGGCCACCTGAGGGTGTCAGCATGATCAGAGCTTCTAGGGGGTTTAGGGGGGACTTTCCTTCTGGCCATGTTTCCCATTTTCCCTAATGAGCTCCCTGCTGGGCTGTGGTAACAGAACCATAACCCAAAGCAGGTTTGGGGTGATCATGTTGAACTTAACAGTACACGCAGACTTTAGTTTTAGTCTTGAGTGTTCAAACATGTTTGCTTTAATATAAAGACGAACTTTGAAAATGATCCCCTAGCAAGTCCGATCAATGCTCCTCCAGGAGGATAATCTGCTCTCTTTTGAGAGGAGGACCCTAATTTGAAAAGTAGGCCCCTTGGCTGCCAGCGTTTTAAGCAGGTTTTGACTTTAGCCCTCACAGGCGGTGTGGGCCTCTCAAGGCTTCTCGGAATCTTTCTACTGCCCCTGGGCGCCTTCCTTTCCTTCTGAGGGCTTGAGAGGGCAGGGAGCCTGCCATGCCCTTTGAGGCTGGTTTCCTGGGAATGGAGGGAGAAGGGCTGATGTTGCTTTAGTGCTCGCTGGTGGCCATTCCCCTAACGGGAAGCCATCTGGGTTGTTAAGGAGCGCTGGTCCCTTCAGACAGGAGAAGCACGATGTACTGCCCACTGGTGGGTCCCCTTAGCTTACACCGGTCACCTGTTAGGTGGCTGCCGGGTCTCCTGCTGCCACCTGGTGGGTGAGGGTTTTTAATCTTTGGGCAGAGACGAGGAAAAGGGAGGTACACAGGGGGCTCCCAAAGGGTTTCCATTCCTTGCCCTTTAGAGCCTGGAGAGGGCATGCAGAGGGCCTGTGGCTTGTCCCAGCCGGAGGTTCCCCTTAAGGGGACCAGCTGCCTTCTCTGGGGAGCTGTCTATGGGGTCCCCGCAGCCCTCCAGTGGAGGCAGAGGCCCTGGCTCCTGACCGCACTTGTTTTGCATAGGACTGGGCTAAGCCTGGGCCCTATGACCAGCCTCTGGTGAACACCCTGCAGCGCCGCAAAGAGAAGCGAGAACCGGACCCCAACGGGGGAGGACCCACTACCGCCAGCGGCCCACCTGCAGCAGCTGAGGAGGCTCAGAGACCACGGAGCATGACTGTATCGGCTGCCACCAGGGTGATGCTCTTGTTCTCAGTAGCTGGTTGGGGCCACCTCAGCCTGGCTGGGGATCACATTCTGGCCAGCAACTGGGGGGCCAAGGCAGCCTTGCAGCTGGAGGGACCTGGGCTCCATTCCCTGACTTCCTGCTCTACAGCAAAGTCCCTGGGAAAAAAACCTTGTGTGGGAATGAGAGAGGCAGAACTTTCTAGGGTCAGAGTGGGACCCAAGCAAGTCAATAGCCCCCTGGCCCCACAGACATGTAGTGCTCACGGGGGCAGAACAGGAGTGCTGTTGAGCCCCCCCCCTAAAGCAACCTGTGTATTTCTCTCCTCCAACCTGCAGCCTGGTGAGGAGATGGAGGCTTGTGAGGAGCTGGCCCTGGCCCTGTCTCGGGGCCTGCAGCTGGACACCCAGAGGAGCAGCCGGGACTCGCTTCAGTGCTCCAGCGGCTACAGCACCCAGACAACCACCCCCTGCTGCTCTGAGGACACCATCCCTTCCCAAGGTACGAGGCAGCCTGGGGTGTGCACTTAGGCTTTCTGAGCAGCACCAGGTGAGGAGATAGAAAACTGCTGGTCCATTTTAACCACAACCCACCACTCGCTAACTAACAGGTGTCAGGATTGTTTTCGTCATCTGGGAATGCTTTGGGGAGCTCATCTGTAGTTGTCAGGTAGCTGCCATATAAGAAAGGGATCTGGGGTCGGGCGCAGTGGCTCACGCCTGTAATCCCAGCACTTTGGGAGGCCAAGGCAGGTGGATCACGAGGTCAGGAGATCGAGACTATCCTGGCTAACATGGTGAAACCCCATCTCTACTAAAAATACAAAAAAATTAGCCGGGCGTGGTGGCAGGCGCCTGTAGTCCCAGCTACTCAGGAGGCTGAGGCAGGAGAATGGCGTGAACCCAGGAGGCAGAGCTTGCAGTGAGCTGAGATCGCGCCACTGCACTCCAGCCCGGGTGACAGAGCAAGACTCTGTCTCAAAAAAAAATAATAATAAATAAAGGGATCTGGACTTTCACAGCTTTTTGCGTTTTGCAGCATCATATACAGCAGTCTCCAATTTGAATGGAGACATGTGCTGTAATAAGAATAGCTTCAGGCCAGGGCAGTGGCTTACGCCTGTAATCTCAACATTTTGGGACTTTGAGGTGAGCAGATTGCTTGAGCTGCAGAAGTTCGAGACCAGTCTGGGAAACATGGCAAAACTCTTGTCTCTACAGAAAATACAAAAATTAGCCAGGTGTAGCAGCACACACCTGTGGTCCCAGCTACTCTGGAGGCTGAGGTGGGAGGACTGCTTGAGCCTGGGAAGTCGAGGCTGCAGTGATCCATGACTGCATCACTGCACTCCAGCCTGGGCAACAAAATGAGACCCTGTCTCAAAGGAATAGCTTCATTTTTGTTTTAGCACTTTGCACTACACACTTTATGGTTATTTTCTCATTTAATCTTTACAGCCACTTATGGGGTAGGTATTTTCACCCCTATTTTACAGAAGTGGAAATTAAGGCTCAATAACTCGCTCATATTCACACAACCAATAAGTAGAACTGGAGTTTGAACCTAAGTGTGTTAGAGTGTAATGCCCAAGTTCTTAACCTATTCCAGCCAAATCCTCTATCAAACCTGCCTCCTTCATCCTCAAGTCCACTGCACACACAAGTCAGGCAAGATGAAAATCTAACAGCTAGAATATATCTATGATAATTGACCAAAAGCTATGCCATTCATCATTCAAAACCTCTAAGACAGTGAGTCTTATTGGAGGGTGATTTTATTCCCCAGGGGACATCTGGCAATGTCTGTAGACATTTCTGGTTGTCACAACTGGAGGGGTACTATTGGCATCTAGTGGGCACAGGGCAGGGATATTGCTTAAACATCCCAGAATACACAGCACGGCCCCTCCCCACCACGTCCTCCATAACAAAGAACTATCCAGCCCAAATTATCAATAGTACGGTGGTTCAGAATCAGGGCTGTGAGCTGTTTAATCTGTAAGCTCCCACATCATCCTGAGATTGGTCTTACAAGGAAGTGAGCACATGACACTGATGGAAACTGTCTTTGTCCCTTATTGTCAGGGACTCACTGTCAGTAGCTTTGTTCTTTGTCTAGCCCTTGCCTCTCCAGTTAATTATCAGGGAGATGTTATAGCCTAGGCTAGTCTATTTGAGGTTTGATCTTCACGTTGAGTTCTGGACTGGAGAATTTGTCTTCTTTCATCCCCCTTATTCCTCCCAGAGACGCTTGCAGGTAGCTTCGCTGCAGCCTAGCAGCTTTACCTTCTTCCCCATTGACGATATTTGAGTGCCTACCGTGTCCAGCACTGTTCTAGGTACTTGGGACACATCAGTGAACAAAGCAAAGATCCCTGCCACGGAGTTCTTAGTTGGTGAGGCTTTCTGAAGATGGTAGAGAAGCCTGGGGGAAGCTTGGGATGAGACTGTGTGTGTACCCTGCCTTGCGTGCCTTTTGTCCTCCCAGCCCAGAAGAATCAAAAAAGCACAGCTGCTGTCTTGAATATGTCTAATCAAATCCTATAATCAGTTTCAGATTATGATTATTTCTCTGTAAGTGGTGACCAGGAGGCAGATCAGCAGGAGTTCGACAAGTCCTCCACCATTCCAAGAAACAGCGACATCAGCCAGTCCTACCGACGGATGTTCCAAGCCAAGCGTCCAGCCTCAACTGCTGGCCTCCCCACCACCCTGGGACCTGCTATGGTCACTCCAGGGGTTGCAACTATCCGACGGACCCCTTCCACCAAGCCTTCTGTCCGCCGGGGAACCATTGGAGCTGGTCCCATCCCCATCAAGACACCCGTGATCCCTGTCAAGACCCCAACCGTCCCAGACCTCCCAGGGGTGTTGCCAGCCCCTCCAGATGGGCCAGAAGAGCGGGGGGAGCACAGCCCTGAGTCGCCATCTGTGGGTGAGGGCCCCCAAGGTGTCACCAGCATGCCCTCCTCAATGTGGAGCGGCCAAGCTTCCGTTAACCCTCCACTTCCAGGCCCGAAGCCCAGTATCCCTGAGGAGCACAGACAGGCAATTCCAGAAAGTGAAGCTGAAGACCAGGAACGGGAACCCCCAAGTGCCACTGTCTCCCCAGGCCAGATTCCAGAGAGTGACCCTGCAGACCTGAGCCCAAGGGATACTCCACAAGGAGAAGACATGCTGAACGCCATCCGAAGGGGCGTGAAACTGAAGAAGACCACGACAAACGATCGCTCAGCCCCTCGCTTTTCTTAGGTTCACAAGAAATGCGCCGGTGGGGAATGAACTGTTTCATTAATAAAACCTAATTTGTCTTGATCCATTCCACTCTATAATAAAACAAAAGATTTTGTAGGCAACTCGGAATATAGCTCTTTTGAAAGTACTCGACACCTTTAGATAAGAATTAAAACCAACCTATGTAACTGACATAATCTTGATCTTTTAATTTGTAAATATTGACAATTTTCTTTCTGCACATTTTAATCTTAGTTTCCCTTTTGATTTTTCTGAAGGTGCCAAATTCCATTTAACTTTTTTACAAGTCTTTGTAAAATTTTAAATGCATAAAGGGGGTTGGGGCAGGGGAACCACGAAGTAGTTAATTTTAGAAAAGGATTTACTATACTTCACTCTTCTTTTTTTTTCCCCACAAGCTTTTGTAGATGCATTGTAGTAGTCTAGCTTAGAAGCAAATGCAAGTTATTTTAATGTACAAACTAAATGGGTAAGAGGTAAAATCTTCATTTAAATATACTATGTTCTGGATGAAAAGAGCAGGAGTAACAATTGATGAGCAATATTCAGAGTGAAGTAAATCTGGAAATGGTAGACTGTGTTGGGATTGGGGGGAGGGCCATGGGAGGGGTACATCGTCAACATAGCCGATCCTGTTACATTTAAGAGTAGCCTCGTAGGTTGAATTTCTTCTGGTAGCTTCATGGTAAATGCATCCGAATAAGCCATACTGGATTGCAGTGTTTGTTTCTGTAGGGTGTTTAAGGACTTGACTTCCTTTCTCCCATGATTCCTCTGGACTGCACACAGCACCCACAACCAGCCCCATGCATGCTGCTGCCTCTGGGCAGTCGTAGAATCTCCCACTTCAGTTTCTCGTTGATTGTACTCACCTTTATGGAATCCAAATACATCCAAAAGGGTAAGGCAGTTTTAAAAATGTGAAAACATTTAAAAATGATAATAGCAGGGAATTCTTAGATTATAGTAAATGCCTTTTACTTAACTGTGCCCAGCAGGCTGGGTGCGTTAAAAAGCCCAAGTATTTTGAAAAAACTCGAACAGATTTGACAAGGGTAGCCAGCTTGGAGTCTAGCAACTTGCCAATGTGTTTACCAATCTGGGGGCTTGTTTTTCTTTTCTTCTTTCAAATAAATGGCAGTTAACTGGCTTTACAGTAAACATTGAAGAGAGGAGGATTTGTTTATTGTCACTGGGAATCTGACCACTATACTGTCCTTTTTTTGTATTCTGGGTAAATGTTTTTTGGAAAAGATTTGTCTTTTCTAAGTGGAAGTTAAATTTGTTATACTGCCCATCCCCTAAAGCCAACAGAGATTTGTAGATTTAAAGGGATCACATTTGAAGACAATAGTGTTTAAGAAAGCAAGCAAGTCCCTTAGCAGTCAGGTCATAACAGGGCACATTTCTGACCGAACCCTCTCAAGGCAGAGGAGGAGTTTGGTGGGTTTCATACACCCTGCAGATTCCTGTTGGCTCTAACCCTCAATTACCTAATCTTATGCTTTAACACATAACTGCATTGGATGTGAGAGTAACGTACCGTATGGTCATTGTTCTATATATTAACATTGAACACTGCTGCGATTGCTCAAGGACATTTTATGTTACGGCTTTAAAGCAAAGGCATGATTATTAGAAACTATTTAAGCTTTTTTCTTTGAAAAACAAGCTCCTTTTACAGAATATAAACAACAGTAGTGCCTGTGGTTTAGCCCACCAATCTTGATGACTAAAAGTAGCTGATGCATTGTGCATATGATGCTTGAGATGGTTTTTGCAAAAGCAGAAATCGCTGCAAGGTAATCACAATAGATAAAAGTGGTATTTTAAACCTTTGAAATAAATGGATGTAACTGTACCTTGGTACAGCTTTTCACTTGTTTAGTTTTTAAACGTTAGTATAATCTGAATAAATAAAATGTTGCCAAATTCAATGTAGAAAGAATGTGACAACACACCTTGGGTAGTTCTGCTTGTGTTTTTGCATATTGTAAAAGCAGTGTCACAGCTAAAAAGAAAGAAATCGTTTCTAACAGTAAATTATTGTGCTTTAGTTGCTAGTTTGTACTGAGAGTTGACCTCTCCCTGTGCAGTTTTTTGTTCTAAACTTGTATAAATAACAATTGTGTAATGTGTCTCCCTCCTACATTGTAACAATTGCTTCAGCCTACGTTATAAATAAAGAACCACTAGATTAAAAAAGTCCTGTATTTCAAGTCTTGTTACAATTCAGTTTGAGGTCTTAGTCAAATGTTAGAAGATGGACTGGGACTCAAATTGAGCTTACGTAGAAAAGTGACAAAATATTTTTGTGATGGCTATAAGATCATTAGTTGCCTGAAACTATTTGAAAACAGTTCTAGCTAATGAGGGATCAAGAACTAAAAGCAGCTGTTTTGGGTTGAAAGTTTTAAAAACTGCTTTATCTTTAAAAAACAAAAACAAAGCTTCTGAAACATTTAAGGAGTTCTGTTATTCCCTTACCTTTGAGTCCGCAGACAATCCAAGCTACGGTAGCAGAAGCAAAGCTGGAAAACTGCTTCTAAAATAAGCGCCACAAAGTTTTATCCCAGATTGGACCATTTAACCCCAACCATCAAACCTCCACCCCTGACAGAACTCCACAAATTCCATGCTTATTTGTTGACTATGTACTTCTTAGGGAGAGTTGTTCTTCTAATAAAAACTAAGTTCCATTAGTGAAATCTTTAGAAAACCAAAAAGGTTATTTTTAAATCCTCAGTATTTCTGTTCTTGGCTTTGTTTATTCCTTCTAGTTACCACAGCTAATTAGGCCTTTGACTTGAGAGTTTGTTCGCCTCAATCTGGTTCTGCCTCAGTTTTTCCTTACTGGTAACATATGCTATCAGTGATTTATTGCAGAGAACACAGCTGACTGACTACATGTCCTGTCATTTTCTTTACATGCACGATTGATAAAACAATGACAGTGGCACAGTCACTTGGCATCACAGTAATTCTTAGAAGAACGTCAGTCATACCAGAGACCATTTCACTGATTTTTTATTAGGGCAAGTGCATGTTCTGTAACATATTTCACTTGCAAGCATGAAAGATGAGGTCTCTCTCTTTCTACATGGGCCGCTCCCGGGGTCTGGTCACAATATACCACCACAGTGGGGGCAAATCACCTTCCTTTCGGGCAGGGGGCAAAGCTTCAGTTAAAGGACCACCAGGTGGCGTTTCCTCCTGCAGCTGCTTAACCTAGAAGGAGGCAAGGAAGGAATCATTACCAAAGGAATCTAATTGACTATAAAAATCTGTCTGCTGCAGTGAAGGGTCAGCTTTATGTCTATGGTGTGTCACTGACATTACACACTATCTGATCACAATATTGAAAAGTGTTTTTTACATATACCTGCTTTATTTTCATATCCACACTTTTAGAAAAGTCTCCTTAAGGGTTTTCCCATTCTTTTAAATAGCAAAGCCTACCCTTCCTATTCTTCCCCCTACCCCTTTTCATCACCTCATTATCTGGACCTCCTCTTATTCTGCAGACAGAAAAATGACAACTATCATTCCAATTCTCCTTGTCACAGCCCCCACCCACTGACCAGAAAAACATTTATTGTTGTGTCTCAGCTAAGTGTTCTCCAAAAGCACCATTAAGAAACCTCAGTTCATAATATGCTGGGGATGTTAATTCTAAGCCCCCTTCCTAGCAACCAAGAACAAAAATAAATCACAAAATTACATGTAAAAATATGCTCAGTTCTGCCAAGTGCTGCCCTACTACCTCCAGTTCTAGTTATGGCCAAGATAAATGTCCTAACAGAAGATCACCCATTCTGGATTGTGGCTGCCCTGGGCCTCCAGTCACACGTGCTGCTTAATAGTGTTGAAGTGATGGGATGTGTAAAGGAGGAATTGTTTGATGTTATCCCAGTGATCAATTGCAGAATGCACCTGCGGCTCACCATGCATATACTTCAAGCTTCTAAACGGTGAGACATTTCTGACAAAACACTGCCCCCTTTGGCCACAGTGCCCTTCCTTCGGGTCCCCCTTGGCCAAACACTTCCAAAGGTCAATATCCTCAGTGTTATCACCAGAACCAGCACAACTTCCAAATCATGAATTCAAATATCCCACTATCCAACCACACTCTCCCTTTCCCACTCATTTGTTTAAATGCCTCCTTGAAACTCAGACTACCAATTCACAGATCCTCCCAACTTGGCCTTCCCTCTCTGCATCTGCCCCCACTGGCTTGACTTTGTTTTTTTTTAAATTCAGCTTAGATTCCATCATGACAACAGCTTCCTTTCGAATAACCTCAAGTCCCTTGTCACTCTCTGAGCAACAGACAAACCGAACCATATACCCTCAGGCCTGTGCTCATACAGCTTAGTATTGCTAAAGAGAAAAAAGATATGGGAGCAAATCGGAGTCATTACCCACTGATTATTCCCAACCTCAAATGGGCCTTTGCCACCTGGCCATCCTACTACTCTCCAGCAAGCTCTTCCTCGCCTCATGACTATCACATCTTGTCCACATTCTCCAAATATGCTGCACCCACTCATTCTGGGCTTTTCCTCTTATTTCACTAAAAAAAGGAAGCTATCACACAAGTCTGTCATCTTCAAAACTTCTAACCCAAATGTATTTATATACAATCTTTTGCCCAATTATAATGCACAAAGAATCCTTTTTCCTTTTCTTTTTTCTCTATACTCTCTCCTAAGGATTCCATACATCTCTCCATGGCTTTTAAAACTGAAAACTCCCACGTTTCTGTTTCTAGGCCAAATCTCTCCTGGGAGTTCCAGATTTCCACATCTGAAGTTGGCTTCTGACATCTGCACTTGATGTCTCACAGGATTCTCAAAACTTCACACTTCCAAAATGAATTCTCGATTGCTGCTCTGACACCTGTGCCCCCTTCCCCAATCTTCCCTATCTCAGTAAACATCACCAAACTCCAGATGTTAAAGCTTAAAACCCAGAAACCATTCTCTCTTTTTTTTTTCTTTTGGGATGGAGTCTTGCTCTGTCGCCCAGGCTGGAATGCAGTGGCGCGATGTCAGCTCATTGCAACCTCCACCTCCTGGGATTCAAGCAATTCTCCTGCCTTAGCCTCCCAAGTAGCTGGGATTACAGGTGCACAGCCCCCACGCCCAGCTAATTATTTGTACTTTTAGTAGAGATGGGGTTTCACCATGTTAGTCAGGCTGGTCGTCATGAACTCCTGACCTCAAGCTATCACCCACTTTGGCCTCCCAAAGTGCTGGGATTATAGGTGTGAGCCACCGCACCCTGCCCCAGAAACCATTCTTGATTCCTCCCCATCCCTCACCCACCCTCAACATCCAGTCAGTCGTCACATCCCTCCAAATGATGTCCTGAGTCAATTTCCTTCCATATCCACTTCATCCACCCTAGTGTTAGTCATGACAACCTTTTGACTAAACTTCTGCAATAATCCTAGAAGGGTCTCTCTGCTTCTCCTCTTCCCCTCTCCAATATATTCTTCACACTACAGCAAGATTGAGCTTTTAAAAATATAACTGACCATCCTAACATGACTGAAAAATGCCTAAGAAAATAGTGGAGAGGCAGGTTGAGGGAAAGTATAGCAAGAAGGCAAAAAAGTCAGACAAAGGACTAAAGAGAAGGAGATCTGAAGCAAAATCAAAGACAAAGCCAAAACGACCAGGGAATGCACTTTAACTTACTTGTAAGGTGATTATAAATGTTAAATTGATACACTTAGATACTAAAGTATATCTGAGAAGCAAGGGCCCAGAGTAACTGTCATGGCTGGAATCTGGACCTCTGCTTGTGGGGAGCAAAACTTCACTCCATCTACATAGCTAAGGAATAACGAAGTACAAGTAGAACGCACCTCTCGTTCCCAGCTTTCCCTCCGCAGTTTCTTCCACTGTTCTCTCTTGGCAAAGTAATCAGGATACATTGCCTTCTCAGAAGGATGCCAGTCATCTAAGCACCATTCTGGGACCTGTCAGGAGAGGAAATCATGGTATCAATCCACAGGACACATTTACCTATCCCTGACAGGGCCTGCTCAGGAGATGTAAGACAAAGATCAAGATATATTTTTATAACCACTGCAACTACCAGACTGTTTCTAACTCTAAGCAAGGAACAGCAGAGGATAAGTAGGAAGCAAAGATAAAGGAAAACACCTTAGAGTCAAAGACTGTGCTGAAAAATAGCACCATCATCAGTCCAAGGAGAACTGGCTTCATTCCTCCCCTACCTGCCTTCTCTAAATATCCAGAGTAGTCTTATCTTACTTGGAACTCTTAATTAGAGTATCTCAGAAATATTAAGCACCAATCCAAGTTGGTTAACTTTAAAGTCCAAAATGAACTTTGTTATAGCAAAAAGTATACTGTACGACCTTAAATCTGAATGTAGAAAGAAAAGTCTTAATGACGTCTCAGAGAGAGAAAACTGACACCTAAGAAACAGTACAGGCACACCTTAGAGATACTGGGGGTTTGGTTCCAGACCGCTGCAATATAGCAAATATCACAATAAAGCAAGTCACAAAATGTTTTTGGTTTCCCAGTGCATATAAAAGTTTTGTTTATACTATACTATAAAGTGTCCAACAGCATTATGATGTCTGTTGAGATGGAGTCCTCCTGGTGAAGATTTTGTGAATATTGATTAACTGATAACAAAGGACTTTGAACAGTACATCAACTTAGTTGATAAAGCAGTGGCAGGGTTTGAGAGGATTGATTCCCATTTTGAAAGAAGTTCTTCTGTGGGTAAAATGCTATCAAAAGGAAAAGTCAATTGATGTGGCAAACCTCACATAATATACATAAAAAATGTACATAATTTAGGCCAGGTGCAGTGGCTCACGCCTGTAATCCCAGCACTTTGGGAAGCTGAGGCAGGCGGATCACCTGAGGTCAGGAGTTCGAGACCAGCCTGACCAACATGGAGAAACGCTGTCTCTACTAAAAATACAAAACTAGCCAGGCATAGTGGTACATGCCTGTAATCCCAGCTACTTGGGAGACTGAGGTAGGAGAATCGCTTGAACCTGGGAGGTGGAGGTTGCGGTGAGCCGAGATTGTGCCATTGCACTCCAGCCTGGGCAAAACTCTGTCCCCCTCCACCAAAAAAAAGACATAATTTAAAAATACATTATTGGTTGGGTGAGGTGGCTCCTGCCTTTAGTCCCAGCCCTTTGAAGGCTGAGGCAGGGAGATTCTATGAGGGTAGGAGTTCCAGACCAGCCTGGACAACATAGCAAGATTCCATCTCTACAAAAAATAAAATAAATTAGCTAGGTGTGGTGTTGTGCCTCTGTTTTCTTAGCTACTTGGTTGGCTAGGACAGGAGGATTGCTTGAGCCCAGGGGATCCAGGCTGCAGTGAGCTATGATCATGCTATTGCACTCCAGCCTGGGCAACAGAGGGAGACCATCTCCCAAACAAAAACAAAAGAAATACGTTATTGATAAAAACTGCCAACAATCATCTGAGCCATCAGAAAACCAATCTTTTTACTGGTGGAGAGTATTATATCAATGTTGATGGCTGGTGACTAATCAGGGTGATGATTGCCAAAGGCTGGAGTGGCTTTGGCAATTTCCTAAAATAACGAGGTTTGCGACATCAACTGACTCTTCCTTACACCAAACACTTCTATAGCATGTGATGCCATTTGATAGCATTTTACCCACAGAAGAACTTCTTGCAAAATTGGAGTCAATCCTCTCAAACCCTGCTACTGCTTAATCAACTAAGTTGATGTGCTATGCGAAGTCCTTTGTTATCATCAATGTTCACAAAAACTTCACCAGGAGACTCCATCTCAAGAAACCACTTTCGTATTCATCCATAAGAAGCAACTCTTCATCTGCTCAAGATTTATCATGAGATTACAGCAATTCAGTCATATTCTCAGGATCAGCTTCTATTCTGGCTCTCTTGCTATTTCCACAACTTCTGCAGTTACTTCTTCTGCTGAAGTCTTGAGCCCTTCAAAATCACCCACAAGGGTTGGAATCAACTTCTTCCAACCCCGTTAAAGCTGATATTTTGATCTCTTCCCATGAATCATAAATATCCTCAATGGCATTTAGAATGGTGAATTCTTTCCAGAAAATTTTACTTTGCCCAAATCCATCAGAGGAATCACTATCTATGGCAACTATAACTATGCAAAATATATTTCTTAAATAATAAAACTTGCAAGTGGAAATTACTCCTTGATCCATGGGCTGCAGAATGGATGTTGTGTTAGCAGACATGGTAGCAGGTCTCAACAATGGGCTTAAAAGATTCAGTAAACCATGTTGTATACAGATTTGCTGTAATTCAGGCTTTGTTATTCCATTTCTAGGGCACAGGCAGAGTAGGTTTAGCATAATTCTTAAGGGCCTCAGGATTTTCAGAATGGCAAATGAACAATGGCTTCAACTTAAAACCACCAACTGCATTAGTCCCTAACAAGAGAGTCAGCCTATCCTTGAAGTTTTGAAGCCAAGCATTGATTTCTCTCAAGGTATGAAAGTTCTACATGGTATCTTATTCCAAAAAAAGGCTACTTCATCTCCACTGAAAATCTGTTGTTAAGTATAGCCACCTTCATCAACTATCTTAGCCAGATTTTGTGTAATAATTTGCTGCAGCTTTTCCATCAGCACTTGTTGCTTCACCTTGCACATCTGTGTTACAGAGATGGCTTTTTTCCTTAAACCTCATGGACCAACCTCTATTAGCTTCCAACTTTTTTTCTGCAGCTTCCTCATCTCTCTCAGCCTTCATAGAAATGAAGAGTTAAAGACTTGCTTTGGATTAGGCTTTGGCTTAAGGGAATGTCGTGGCTGGTTTGATCTTTTGTCCCAACCACTAAAACTTTCTCCATATCAGCAATAAGACAGTTTCACTTATCATTTGTGTGTTTAGTGGAGCAGCACTTTTAATTTCCTTAAAAAAACCTTTAATTTCCTTTGCATTCACAACTTGGCTAACCAGCGGAAAAGGCCTTGCTTTCTACCCACCTTGGCTTTCAACATGCCTTCCTCACTAAGCTTAATCATTTCTAGCTTTTGATTTAAAGGAAGAGACGTGTAACGGATTTAAAGTGAGAGACATGTAACTCTTCCTTTCACTTGAACACTTAGAGGCTATGGTATGGTCGTTAATTGTCCTAATTTCACTGTTGCTGCGTCTTAGGGAATAGGGAACCCTGAGGAGAGGGATAGAGGCGGAGGAACTATTGGTCGGTGAAACAGTCAGCACACGCACATTTATCGATTAAGTCTGCTGTCTTATGTGGGCATGGTTTTTTTGTGCCCCAAAACAATGACAATAGTAACATCAAAGGTGACTGATCACAGTTCACCACAACTGTGTGTAGATAGAGTAATAATAAAAAAAAGTTTGAAATATTGCAAGAATTGCCAAACTGAGAAACAGAGACAGGGAGTGAGCACATGCTGTTGGAAAAATGGTGCCCACAGACTTGCTCAGCACGGGGTTGCCACAAACTTTCAATCTGTGAAAATACAATATCTGCCAAGCACAATAAAACAAAATGCAATAAAATGAGGTAGGCCTGCATCTGACAACTGTCAGGAAATAAGTCTCCTAGCTACCCCTTGAAGGGCAAGTGATTTCTGAGGCTGAGGTGTGGGACTGAAGAAACAAAGTCTATTTCTCAGAAGGCAGTCATCATAATTCTCACCTACCTTGTAGCAATCGTATCTCTCATAGGAGGTGCCCCCAGGAGAGTCAGGGAAGATGTATGGCTGTGGATGCTGACGGTACCAGAATTCTTCCTCGGCCTCCTTCAGCAGCTGGGTGGCCTTCGCCATATCCTTTTCATTCTTATGTTCTTCAAACCGGGCTCTCATCAAACAAGCAAAGTATCGGTATTTGTCTCTTAAACCAAAATGATTTTGAAGATTAGAAATGTTACCTACTCACGTGGTCAGTGTTGCTGTCTGACAGGAGGCTGCACTTCTGATACCTTCTGGATGGGCAGTGGACCTACCCCAACCCTCCCAATGGAGCAGCCGTATCATCATGGCTGCTTCCTCTACAGCCCACCAAACAGCAGCAGCAAAAAAATACTGTATTAAATATATACCCTAACCATTTTTCTCCTCTTACATCCAACAATGGAATGAGGATTTAAACAAAAAAAAAAAAAAAAAAAAAGAAAAGAGCATTCGCAAGAGAAAAGCTATAACCTCTGCAGGATCATTCAACATTCATTGAATGACAACTTCCATTTCCTTCTATCTTGTGCTAGTCACTATGCTAAATTCTGGAGATACAAAGATGAATAAGAAAGGTGTTACTTGGCAGAAACAGTATTGCTTAGCTCATACAGAGCTAGGTTTGTATCCTGACTCTGACACTAGCTGCATAAACTTAGGCAAGTTAAAGTCAAGTTCTAAAGAAACTGGGCAAAGATCAGTTAGGAGGTTTTGACAATAATCTAGGACACAGCTGACGAGGGCCTGAAAGTACGGAGCTGTGATGGTGACAGGAGACAGGGGAGACATTGAGACTTCCAAGTTATGAGAATAGGCTCTCCAGTCAGACTGTATGGGCCTGAATCTTAGCTCTGCCACTACTAGCTGTGTAACTTGGGGTAAGTTACTGTCTTCTGGTCAGGTGCGGTGGCTCACACCTGTAATCCCAGCACGTTGGGAGGCCAAGGCGTGTGGATCACCTGAGGTCTGGAGTTCAAGACAAGCCTGATCAACATGGAGAAACCCCGTCTCTACTAAAAATACAAAAATGAGGCCGGGCATGGTGGCTCACGCCTGTAATCCCAGCACTTTGGGAGGCCAAGGCAGGGGGATCATCTGAGGTGAGGAGTTCTACACCAGCCTGGCCAACATGGTGAAATCCCGTCTCAGCTAAAAATACAAAAACTAGCCGGGCGTGGTGGCAGGCACCTGTAATCCCAGCTACTCTGGGGGCCAAGGCAGGAGAATAGCTTGAACCCGGGAGGCAGAGGTTGCAGTGAGTCGAGATTGTGCCATTTGCACTCCAGCCTGGGGGACAAGAGCGAGACTTCATCTCAAAAAAAAACAACAACAACAACAACAAAAAGGCCAGGCACGGTGGCTCACGCCTGTAATCCCAGCACTTTGGGAGGCTGAGGTGGAGGTCACCTGAGGTCAGGAGTTCAAGACCAGCCTGGCCAACATGGCAAAACCCCGTCTCTACTAAAAATACAAAAATTAGCCAGGCGTGGTGGCGCATGCCTGTAATCCCAGCTACTCGGGAGACTGAGGCAGGAGAATTGCTTGAACCCGGGAGACGGAACTTGCGGTGAGCCAAGATCGCGCCACTGCACTCCAGCCTGGGCAACATAAGCGAAACTCCGTCTAACAAAAAAACAAACAAAAAAAGTCTTCTAGGCCACGGGTTCCTCCTCTGTAAAACAGTGGCAATAACAGTGTGTATATCTTAAGGTTGTCATAAACAGTCAATAAGATAAACACACTTTAAAAAGTGCCTGGTACATCCCAAGTGTTAAATAATGTCAGTTACTAATATCATACTGGAAAGAGAATTTATAAAAACCAGTGTCTAATTATACATGGTGTATGAGTATGTGTGTTATTGGCAAAGGAATAAGGAGCAAATACTTGAGAACAATTCTGAGACTTAAAGCTCAGTAACTGAATTACTAATAATACCATTAGCGGAGGCAGGGAATTTGGGAAAAGAGTCAGAATGGGGAGTGACAGGAAAACAAGTTTGATTTCAAAGAATTTAGATAAATGGAGATTGAGAGAACGGTTGGTGATCTTTTCAATTTTTTTTTTATTATTATTTTTTGAGACAAAGTTTCACTCTTGTCGCCCAGGCTGGAGTGCAATGGGGCTATCTCGGCTCACTGCAGCCTCTGCCTCCCAGGTTCAAGCGGTTCTTCTGCCTCAGCCTCATGAGTAGCTGGGATTACAGGCACCCACCACCACGCCTGGCTAATTTTTGTATTTTTAGTAGAGACGCGGTTTCACATGTAGGCCAGGCTGTTGAACTCCTGGCCTCAGGTGATCCACTCACCTCAGCCTCCCAAAGTACTGGGATTATAGGCGTGAGCCATCATGCCCAGCCAACAGTCGTGATCTAACAAGCAATTCGAACTACAGCTCTAGAGACAAATGAGCGCAGGTGGTGACAGCACTAAATGAGGCTGCCCGAGTACATACAACAACACAGTATGCCTAGGATGGAACCACAGAGAACAGCACAATGAGGGCAAATGGAGGAAGAAATTAAGGCAAGGATTGAGAAAGAATGTCAGATCTAAAAAATGCTGAGCCATAACTGTCATAGTAGCTAGTTTATATCATTTTCCTCTAGAACTATGGACTTTAGTATTCCCAGCTATAGTTCAGTATTGCTTGAATTCTTTTTTTCATGTTTAACTTTTTTTGACACATAATTATTGTACCTATTTATGGGGTACATGTGATATTTTAATACATCCATATAATGTATAATGATCAAATCAGGGTAATTTGGATATTCATCACCTCAAACATTTACCATTTGTGTTGGGATACCTGAATCCCTGATGGCTCAACTTCCTTCATCATCGATTTGTTTACATGTCCATTTTCCCCACTAATCCGTGAGCTGCTGCTGCTCAAAAATGGATTTACTAACATTTATATATTTAGCATAGAGCATAGAATCTGAATTGCAAATTCTGTCAAATCAATAAATAAATAAGGAAAACTCAAGGAAGAAACTAACAATCCCATCACATTGTACTTGGCCATCTTCCTGCCAAATCAAGAGAAGTATGTCAGTGATTTTCTAATAGTCACATATATGCAATCTGGGCTTCGAGGGTACCCTCTGTAATTCTTCCAGGCCTACTCCATTTTCCATAGAGTTTTTTTCCCAGAAGGCCTTCTTATAAAACTACGTTTGGAGAGTCGTAAGACTGGAGTGGAGGCGAGGCACTCACACATCTTGGGTTGTTAGCCCACCCTGCAATGAATTTAGGTGATTAAAATCTACACATTTTAACACTATGTTCTCAGACTAGTCTCAGACGGATAGAGGTCGAAAGAGAATTATGTAAGAGGTGAAAAAGATGTAAAGGTAATGAAAAGGACTAGATGAAGCTAAAAAGAGAAAAGCTAATGGGAGGGGTGGGAGAATGATGATGCTTTGGAGAAAGACCTAAATTTTAACCCTGGCTCAGACACTTAGAAACTCTATCACCTTGCGCAAGTTACCAGCTGTGCTCATCTTCTTATCTGTAAAATAAGCTTAAGATAATTCCTAACTCCTAGAGTTTTGCAGACTGAAGAAAATAATGCATAGTTTATTGCTGTTAATATTGGAAAGGAGAAGATCGTGAAGAAAACGATTGAGCGAGCGCTGGACCCATGACAATTACAATTTTAGGCACTTTCCTTTATTTCACTTAATTTTCCTGCGACCCTCTGCGCTGGTCGTGCGTCCGTTTTACTAAACAAAAAGCTGACGCCCAGACCCGACAAGCAACTCTACAAGGTCTCCCGGCCATAAGTGGCGAAGCCTGGATTTGAACCCGGGTCTACCATAGGATTCTGTGAAGCGAGAGGCCACCTTCCAATTCCGTTCCCGAAGTCCTTGAACCTCCAGGTACCCAGGGGCCTCTCCACCTCCATGGGGCCCCGAGGGTCACCTCCCCGAGTCCTGGGTCCCCATCCCTTACCTCTGGACGCACCACGACTCGAGGTGGCGTAGCGCCCGCTTATAAAGCCGCAACACCTTTTGCTGATGGGTCAGGTAGGGTCCCGACGCCAAGAACGCCATTACGGCGCTGACCTTCCCCGGCCGCGCGGAGAGCCGGGAAACTGCACGCCTGCTGCGGGTGACTGAGCGGGGCCAGCCGGAAGGGCGGAGTTGCCGGCGGCCACTTCCGCTTCCGCTGGGGAGGTCCTCCATGCGCAGTCATGAGTCGCTTCAAGTTTATCGGTAAGAGGAGCGTTTTCCACGCCCTTGGGTCTTTCTGACTTGTCCCGGGCGTCGGTCACCAAGGTCACAGGACCCAGGAATTGCGCCCTCCGGCATTGTAAGGGTTGAAAGGGCCGCTCAGTGGAGGAGGGCGCGGGGAGGTTTCTGGGTGCTGGTAATGCTCTGGTTCTTGATCTAGGTTCTGGATTCACGAGGGTGTATTTATTTGTAAAAATTAACAAGCCGTACAGTTATGATTTTTGTGCTGTTTTCAACATCTGTAATGTATTCAGTTTTTTAAGAAGAAAACTCCAAAAAGGCCAATCACTATGTTTCCATTCATCCCACGTGCACCTCCCGGCCCTTCCCCTCTGCCTTGGCGGAGAGGCTGACCGCTTCTGGGGACCAATTCACTCAAGCATTCATTCGTTCATATCATAGTTAGTGAGCGCCTCAAGTGGGCCTGGCACTGGCCTAGGAACACAGGGCACAAAGCTCCCAGTTGTACTGTCATCACCATCTGGTGGAGAAACTAGAAAACACAAGTAATGGGGAGAAAAACAAACTGTACTTGGCAAGTACAATGATCCAGTCGGCATCAGTAGAACGAGAGGGAGAATGCTGCGGGATTTAAATGGGCATGATCCTCGTTTTGTGGGGTTTCCAGCTACCTGAAGGTGGGAAATGACAGTGATCACACCTCTGCTTTAGCAAGGTAATCCTGATAGCTATTATGTAGGTTTTGTGGGAAATAGGGAGAGGTAGGGAAGCATTTCAAGAGCTTAAACTAGGGTAATGGAAAAGAGAGAGAAATGGAAGAGATGTGTGCAGCATTTAGCAGCTGAGTGTTCATGGCCGGTAGTAGAGAGTGAACAAAGATGACTCAGGGTTTGGAAAAGTACTTAAATATGAAATGGAAGCATGACTAGTTTGGCGGTGAAGAGAGGTACCCAGGTCCATTTGGATTAGGTTAAGTTTGAGATAATTATAGGACATCCAGGTAGAGATATCTGGGCAATTGGGAATGTGGTCTGGCAATCAAGAGATTAGGATTATACATTTAGATCTGAGAGTTATTTAAGCAGTATTTTTTTTTTTCAAAGACGTTGTGCTAAGTCCTGTGGAACTGTAAAATCTAGTGGTGCAGTTTTCAGACTGGAGACCTAAGACCTATGTACTGTACAGTCAAAAGCAAATGCAGGGGAGAATATGTTAAGTGCCAGGAAAAAGGTTTTGAAATTGCTGTGGGAAAGCCTGGAGTAGGGGTTTGGGGAGGGGTTGTCAAATAAGACATTGCCGTGTCTTAGCCTTTCCATCCTAACCTTTGATATAATTGATGAGGGAGATGGAATAAAGAGCCATGAAGTACTCCGTAAAGAAAGGCCACATAACTTTTTAAAAGTGTGTTTATGTTATACAACCAAATTCCTGCCTCAAGTTAATGTCTTAAATCCATCCTCCATGTAGACTCCATTTTGGTGTATCTAAAAATCAAATCAGCTAAATGTTTCTTTTGCTTCAAATCTTTCATTTACGCTCCTCAGGATAGCCTAAATGCTTACACACCATACAAAGCCCTTCTGTGGTCCAGTCCTGCCCACTTTTCTAGCCCATCCCTGGGCTGCTCTATAAACACTTGTGCATGCTGTTTGTTACCTCTGACAAGGTTTTAGAGTGGCAGTTTGGGGCCAAAATATTCCTCTGCCTACCAACTACCCTGTTGCCTGTCTGCCTACTCACTCCTTAAAACTTATACCACATTATTTATAATTAAATATGAGTATGCCTTTCCCACTAGATCAAACTCTTAAGGCAGATACTGGTATGGTATTTATATTTTTTTCCTAGGGGCGTAGTACAATGACTGTTTGGGAAAGTATGAATGAGTGGCTTTAGTGCTAAGGTGATAAGAAAATTAGTAAAGGGATTAGCATCAGATAAAATAAGCAAGAAAAGACTTCTTAAAGAAGGTGACTTTATTGGAATAAATAATTGAAATAAATTTTTTTCTGTATGGTTTCCTTTAGCCCCACTCTCCTAAAGTAACCATATTAAAAGTTTGAAGTATAGCCTTCCCTAATTTTTTAATAGATTGTTATACAGATTCATAAAAATACAACATATCAAGGTTTTTTTTTTTCCTTTTGAAACAGAAATGAGATCATATTATGCATTCTATCCTTGGTATATGACTTACTCTGATATTTAATCTTTCAGTTTGTGTCATTTAAAAAATTCTGCCCATGAATCGCTAGACTAATTTCTTAGCCTAATAATGAGTTCTGAACAATATTTTGAAAAACATCATATTAAATCCCTGGAACAAGCTTCACATGGGACAATTGCATGAAAAATTGAACCCATTTTATGAAAATTACCTTAGATTTTGGTTTAAGACAGCTGACCATTGTAATTCTTTCTACATTTCTCTCTTTTCTACTTGCATAACAAGTGGCTGCCCCTTAGAACTATACCCCAACAGTGGGGGTTTTTGTTTGTTTTGAGACAGGGTCTTGCTCTGTCACCTAGGCTGGAGTACAGTGGCTTAGATCATGGCTCCAGCATTGACCTCCTAGGCTCAAGTGATCTTCCTGCCTCATCCTCCCAAGTAGCTGAGACTAGAGGTGCTCACCACCATACCAGGCTAATTTTTTTTTGTAGACCACTGTGTCCTGCTATGTTGCTCAGGCTGGTCTTGAATTGCTGGCCTTAAGCAGTCCTTCCACCTCCGCCTCCCAAAGTTCTGGGATTACACGTGGAGCCACTGGCCAGCATGAGAATTTCTTTAGCCCAGCTTATACTCTCTTTTCTGTCTCCACAAGTGGAATTCTATTCCCTGGGTGTTATTTACAAACTCTTCCACTCTCAAAAATACTTCTACCTGTAACTATTATATGCCAGAATCTCTACTGCATTGATCTTAGACTACATAGTACACCAAAAAATGAGAAATATCTGTGCAAGAAGAAAATGCAAAATACAAACAACAGTGAAAATAAAAACATCATATTCCATTCCTGATATAGTTTAGATATTTGTCCCCTCCAAATCTCATGTTAAAATTTGCTCTCCAATGTTGAGGTGGTCCAGTGGGAGGTGTTTGGGTCACTTCCCAACATCCATCTCATGGGGGTGGATCCCTCATGAAAGGCTTGATGGCCTCCCTGTGGTAATGAGTTCACACTGGCTCCCCTTCCCTTTCCACCAGGATTGGAAGCTTACTGAGATCCTCCCAAAAGCAGATGTTGGTGTCATGCATCTTGTACAACCTGCAGAACCATGAGCCAAATACACCTCTTTTCTTTATAAATCACCCAGTCTCAGGTATTCCTTTATAGCAATGCAAAAGCAGATTAATACAGTTCCTCCAAATCACACATAACACCACCATGTCTATCTTTCCAGATCTTCTGTAGGCATACCAAACAAAATAAGATCATACTGAGGCTACTCTTTTGTGCTCTGCTTTTTTCAATCACAGTCTCCACCTTTCCATTTCAGGAAATGTTCATCTTAACTAGTACCAAAATCATACTCAAATTTTTCCTGTTGTTCCAAAAATGTCCCTTGGTGGTCATGTCCAAAATGGTATCCCATTTAGAGCCACACATTTGGTTGTTCCTTAAATTTTTGAATCAAGTGCAGAGGTTTGCAAACTTTTTCCTTAAAGGGCCATATAGTAAATATTTTAGACTTTGAGGGCCACGTGATCTCTATTGCAGCTATTCAACTCTGCCCTTTTGTGTACTGTGATGTAATAGTAAATACGTGTGTGTTCTCTGCTCCCATTTCTTTGTGCACAACTCCTGAAACCCTTGGAATCTCCTAAGTGCTAAGTGTCTTTTTGTATGCTGCTAAGATGACTGATGGCTGGGGGCTCCTGGATAGCCTCAGGATGGGGGTTTGCCTAGGAAAACCCATCATGTGATTAGAGAGTTGGAAGTTTCAGTCCCTCCCACCCACTCCCACTTCTGGGGAAGGGGAGAGAAACTGAAGGTTGAGTTGTTCACTAATGGCCAGTGATTTAATCAATCATACCTACATGGTGAAGCCTCTATAAAAACCCATACATGTCTCTATGTGTCTCTTCCACCTGGCCGTTTTTGAATGGCATCTTTTTACAATGAATGGGTAATAAGTAAAGTGCTTTCCTGAGTTCCGTGAGCTGCTCTAGCAAATGATCAAACCTGAGAAGGGGGTTGTGGGAACCTCTTATTGTAGCCAAGTTAGACAAGTTGTGGGTAACCTGGGAACCTACTGCTTGTAATTGGTATCTGAAATGGGGAGAGTCTTGTGGGACTGAGCCCTTGACCTCTGCGGTCTGATGTTATATCCAGGTAGATAGTGTGAGAATTGAGTTAAATTATAGGTCACCCAGCTGGTGTCAGAGAATTGGTTGTTGGGAGAGGAAACCCCACACATACCTGACGTCAGAAGTGAATCCTCACGCCTGTAATCCAAGCACTTTGGGAGGCCAAGGTGGGAGGACTGCTTGAGCCCGGGAGTTCAAGACCAGCCTGGGCAACAAAGTGAGACCCCATCTCTACTTAAAACAAACAAACAAAAAATTCAGAGTATTGTGAGTATGAGAATACTGTAGGAGAAAGCAGTTTGCATTTTTTCCTATCTCACACCTTGTCATTCAAAAGCAGGTGATAGACAGTATGTAAATAGGTGTGGCTATGTTCCAGTAAAACTTACGGTCACTGAAACTTGAAGTTCTTATAATTTTGATGTGTCACAAAATATTCTTTTGATTTTCTTCAACTATTTAAAAATGTAAAGTCATTCTTAGCTTAGAGGCAAACAAAAGTAGGCAGTGGCTTGTGGGCCTTAGTTTACCAATCCCTTGCTCTAGCGCATTTCTTTTTTTTTTTTTTTTTTTTTTTTTTTTTTTTTTGAGACGGAGTCTCGCTCTGTTGCCCAGGCTGGAGTGTAGTGGTGCAGTCTGGGCTCACTGCAAGCTCCGCCTCCCAGGTTCACGCCATTCTCCTGCCTCAGCCTCCCGAGTAGCTGGGACTACAGGCGCCCACTACCACGCCCGGCTAATTTTTTGTATTTTTAGTAGAGACGGGGTTTCACTGTGTTAGCCAGGATGGTCTCGATCTCCTGACCTCGTGATCCTCCTGCCTCAGCCTCCCAAAGTGCTGGGATTATAGGCGTGAGCCATCGCGCCCTGCCACACATTTCTTTTTTTAATGTCACTGACTTACCAAAGCAGCTGTGCTGGTTGTGCCTGTGAAATAAAAATAAAATTCTAAGCCCCCTAAACTGGCTGAACAGAACCCCCCTCGACCAAGTAGACCCCAGAAAAACATGAAAAACTAAGATTCCCAAACATGACAAGATGAGGGGTTGGTCCTGGTCTCCTTCCTTACTAACCAATACCAGACTTTTTTCCTACAAGTTGAACAGAAACCAGCCCTGGAAAAACAAAGATTGGAAGACTTGCTCCTCTGCTGACTTCAGCCAACTGCCTGACATTGGGACCAGCTCCCCTCCTTTTTTGCAGTTTCACCATGACAGCTGACCAGTTTCACAAGGCATTCCTTCCTGTACTGAGGGCAGTTGCCACCCCCTCAGGCCTCATCAAGGCTACCAAAAAATTACTCCTGGGATCCCCTCTCGTTGTATATGTTTCTCATTCAATTTAGGCCCTTTGCACCTGTCCCCTCACTCAGCATCTTTAAGCCAGTTGATTGACCTCCTATGAGATACTTTTCTCCTCTTCTAACCTAACCATAATTTACTGTAACCTCCTTAATGTAGCTACCATTTTGCGTTTTTTTTTTTTGAGACAGAGTCTCACTCTGTCGCCCAGGCTGTAGTGCAGTGGCGCCATCTTGGCTCACTGCAAGCTCCACCTCCCGGATTCACACCATTCTCCTGCCTCAGCCTCCTGAGTAGCTGGGACTACAGGCGCCTGCCACCACGCCCGGCTAATGTTTTGTATTTTTAGTAGAGACGGGGTTTTACCGTGTTAGCCAGGACGGTCTCGATCTCCTGACCTCGTCATCTGCCCACCTCGGCCTCCTAAAGTGCTGGGATTACAGGCATGAGCCACTACACCTGGCCCCGTTTTGCCTTTAATAAGAGATTAACGCACCCAAAGACTGTGTTGTCTTTACAGACACTTTTCTCTCACCTCATATAGACTTAAGGGAGACCCCCTTACCCACTAATGGATCCTTTCTCAAAAATTCTGCTGGCTTCCATTATGCAGCCTATGTGGTGGTCTCTGTGATGGGAATCATTGAATCAGGCCCCCAGCCAACTGCCCGATCTGCCCAACGAGCAGAATTAGCATCCCCTCACTTGGGCCTGCCTACTGGCCTGGGGTGAAACGGTTAATATTTATGCAGACAGCACGTATGTCTTTGGAGTTGCCCATGATTTTGGCATGCTCTAGAAACAAAGAGGATTTTTTACTTCCTCTGGACAACCTATTAAGAACAAAGACTAGGCCAGGTGCAGTGGCTCACGCCTGTAATCCTAGCACTTTGGGAAGCCGAGGCAGGTGGATCACTTGAGGTCAGGAGTTTGAGACCAGCCTGACCAACATGGTGAAACCTCGTCTCTATAAAAAACACAAAAATTAGCCAGACGTGGTGGCATGCACCTGTAATCCCAGCTATGTGGGAGGCTGAGGCAGGAGAATCACTTGAGCCTGGGAGGTGGAGGCTGCAGTGAGCTGAGATTGCACCACTGCACTCCAGCCCGGGCGACAGAGTGAGACTCTGTCTCAGAAAAAAACAAAAACAAAGACTGTTTTGTTTCTCTTAGATGCCATTCAGGCTCATTGAGCCCTAGCCGTTATCATAGTCGAAGGACATTTCTCTGACAAGACAGAAGACAGCGAAGGCAACCACCTAGTGGATGCAGCAGCTAAAGCTGCCACCCAGCATGTGGCTCCTTCCCGAGTTGTACTCAACCCACTCCTCCTCCTCCTCCTCCTCCTCCCCCCCTTGCTCTTCCTTCTTCCTTGCTCCCCTCCCCATCTGAAGACCTTTCCAGACTTATTTTCACAAAAGACAGTCTTGGAGTCTGGAAGAGGGAAATGGATGAAACAAAATTGCGCTTGCAATCCCCAGACAAAATTACAGGAAGGTCCAAATGGACATCCAGTCCTACCCAGCACCCTGCAAAGACAAACAACCTTCATACATAATCTAACCCATTAGAATCCAGACAAAATGATTCAGTGGGGTAGACAGTACTACTGTATGGTGGCTCTCTCCAGCTCTTGCCCCACCGCTATGTAAACTTTGCAATATCTACCCTCAGTATAACCCAGGTGAACTCCTGAAGCTCCCTCCAGGACAATTTCCTCTCCCCTAGGGTCCCTTAACCATGTGACAACTTGATTTCATTTAGTTACCACCATCCCACAGATTAAATTTTGTTCTTCTAATGGTTGACGATGTATTCTCATTGAGGTAGGTCTTTCACCTGTAAACAAGCAACAGCTATGGTGGTGGCCAAAATGCTGCTTGAGAAAAACCATTCCTATCTAGGGTGTTCCCACTGAATTCCACAGCGACAGAGGCACTCATTTTACCTGCCAAATACTAGAACAAGTTTTTTAAATCTGCCCTTTTACAGCACTTTCACTGTGCCTATTACCCCCAGTCCTCTGGGCTAGTTGAACAGTCTAATGGGATCATTGAAAGCGAGCTGGCGAAAGTTACAGAAACTTAACCTGTCCTTGCCTAAAGCTCTCCCATTAGCATTACTGATTCTGCAGTCCATTCCCACCAGTAAATGTCAGCTCTCCCCTTTTGAAATTGTTACTGGTTGGTCTGTGCACTTAGACCAGGAAATATTTTCTCCTGCCAAATGACAGGAGGGAACTTTAGGCTTATTGCCAGGGGCTTGTTAAAGCTATAAAGATCAGTCACTGCAAGTTGTAGAATCTTTTTACAGCTTCCCAACAGGCCATAAACTCCAGTATTACCACCTCCAGCTTGGTGATGACAAGTAGTGGAAGAGACATCAGTTAAAATACTTCATCCAGCCTACTGGATGGGTGCTATTAATTAATCCTTGTGCTGCTAAGTTATAGAGATTGACTCCTGGTCGCACATGTCTCATCTGAAAACAACAACCCTTGCTGAATCTTGGAAGTTGGTGCCAGTCTCTACACGAGACTTCAGTTAACCAGAGCCTCATCTTTAGACCCAGAAAAAGGCAATAGTCAACATAAACTGCTTTCATGAGACCCAGGGCCAGGACTGTATTCAAAGACACTGGGTCTCATTTAATAATTTGCCTCTATCTAAACTAATAGAATTTGTTCCATGCCTTTCTGCTAGATAACTTCGATGTTTAGCTACCTGTGTGCTTCCTCTTCTTGTCTTTATCAGAACTGAGCAGGGCTTATGACCCCCACTCCTGAGGACATCATTGCTTTGTTCCTGTAGTGAGATGTTCTCTTACTTAAGGACAGTCCCTTAAGTTTGTCAGATAATCCCCTTGGATTTGTATGGGATTTATGGTTTTTCCCTTGGTTCAGTTTTCTGAATTGTTAAATGGCTGTTCCCTCCATTCCTTTTACTCATACCTGCACTGTCACCTTTCCCTCTCTTTGCAATTGTCCCTCTGTCTTGTCTCAATGCAGAGAATGGCATGATAACACTTTAGTTAAGCTGTCCCACATGTTGCTAGTAGAAGGAAACCTATTGGATTGCTGGATTTGCCAACAACTTCCTTGATCCATTCATAATAGATATGTGCCATTGGTAATATCTGTCACTGACTGCTCAGATGTCCCTAATGTCACCACTTACCCAGACCAACCCCTTTCCCTGTTGATTTTCCAGGTCCAATTCCTTCAAAGCCCAGATATTGTCACCCCTTGTTTTGATGTGTCCTGTGTTTTTAACATTGGAAACCCATTCTTTACCATGGGACCTTCTTTGTTGTTGTTGTTCTTTGGGTTTTTTATGGTTTTTTTTTGAGACTGAGTCTTGGCCTGTTACCCAGGCTGGAGTGCAGTGGTGAGATCTCAGCTCACTATAACCTCCGCCTCCCGGGTTCAAGCGATTCTCCTGCCTCAGCATCCCAAGAGCTGGGATTACAGGCACCTGCCACCATGCCCAACTAATTTTTGTATTTTTAGTAGAGACTGGATTTCACTGTGTTGGCCAGGCTGGTCTTAAACTCCTGACCTCAAGTAATCCACCTGCCTTGGCCTCCCAGAGTGCTGGGATTACAGACATGAGCCACTGCACCCGGCCTACCATGGGACCTTCTTGACCTATGAACTACTGGATAGACAAGTGTCATCTACATCAGATAAATAAAGTTAAAAATATATCCCTACAGTGCCCACAATATTTACATTTAAAATAAGTGAGTGGATTCTGGAAAGCTTGCAAGAGAAATGGCCCATAGTTTAGTTTGGTGATGTCAGCACTCCGCATGAATACATCTGCTAATTAAGACATCCTCAGGAGTATCACTTGTGCCCCCCATTCAGGCTGTGTGTTTGTATGTGGCATAAGGTCTGATCCACCTGCACAGCTTTGGGCACACTGTTGCCTCGGCAGCCTACAGTTAGAAGGTTCATGCTTGCTGAGATATTTTGTAACCCCCCGTATCCTTACACAAACTTACAGAAGGACCCCCTTTCTCTCCATTATTAAACTAAAAGGTCTGTGTTGGCAGGGTGTGAAGGTGATACAGATCAAAGCATCCTGGGAATATTAATTCCGAGTGTTGGGATTTATGTCAATAAGGATATGATTTGAAAAGTCTTTGCCACTATTAGTCACATTGTTGCGGGATTTAGGAGTATGAGAGACCTCGGGTTGAAACAGGAGAATCTTTTATTGAGTGCACTCAGGCCCAGCAGACTCAGGTCCAAAGACTGAGCCCGAAACAAAGACAGCACTTGACTTTTATACACACTTCACAAAAGGGTGTGGGCTAGCTTGAAGCAAGCTTACAGTGGTGTGAAAGCAGGGATACAGAGGCAGGACAGACTCAGGATTGCTCATGACCATTGCCAAGCAACCCAGGTGTCCGTTATCTAGGTTTGCCTAGGCACGGGCTTATCCCATAACCTTCACTGTGGGGCCCAGGCAGCTGTAGTTCAGGCCTACTCAGGCTTCTCGTGACCTTTGTTGTACTTCTTAGATAAAACAGAATACTTGAAGTTACTAGTTACAGAGAACAAGAATCTATAAACTCATACCATAAAGCAAAGGAAAATTTGTTTTTCTTCTCCTTATGTTGAGGGAGTGCTGGGAGAGTCTCCACAGCACATTAGATACCATTATCAAGACTTTTCCTGGGTCTGGGTTGTGCCTGTTGCCGCCTCTGGGACAAGTCAGTCTAATACAGGAAAACTTATTTCTCTATCTTTTTAATTTTATTTTTCTTTAATTTCCCACCTCAAGATAGCTGCAGACACTGCAAAAAGCCTTGTAGCTCAACAAAAGTCTCTAAACTCCTTGGCTCAAGTAGTACTAGATAATAAAGTTGCCGTAGATTTTCTCCTAGCCAAACAAGGAGTTGTTTGGCCCATACCTCCTGTTACATAAGTACTTCAGGTGAAATAGAAACTGTTAGAGGCCGGGCGCAGTGGCTCACCCCTGTGATCCCAGCACTCTGGGAGGCCGAGGCGGGAGGATCACAAGGTCAGGAGATCGAGACCATCCTGGCTAACATGGTGAAACCCCGTCTCTACTAAAAATACAAAAAATTAGCCGGGTGTGGCGGCAGGCGCCTGTAGTCTCAGCTACTTGGGAGGCCGAGGCAGGGGAATGGCGTGAACCTGGGAGGTGGAGCTTGCAGTGAGCC
Source organism: Homo sapiens (assembly GCF_000001405.40). Taxonomy (NCBI): domain Eukaryota; kingdom Metazoa; phylum Chordata; class Mammalia; order Primates; family Hominidae; genus Homo; species Homo sapiens. The sequence goes on along the minus strand of NW_025791784.1, from coordinate 63,192 downwards.
GAGATGGCACCACTGTACTCCAGCCTGGGTGACAGAGCGAGACTCCATCTCAAAAAAAAAAGACACTGTTAGAGAAAGACTATCCAAACAACCTTAAATGGTTACAAGAGCTATGAACTACTAATCCTCTCAATGATCTATTTAGTTGGCTTCCAACTGGCCTGGGAAATCCCTTTCAAACTGCTAAGTGTTTGTCATATTCATAGTCTCCATCATACTTTCTTTCTTAACATTTAAATTACTTATAATAGGACTGCAAGAAGTCCCCTGTTAAAACCAGAATTATGATGGCTCAGTGCGTAGAACTTACAGGCAAGTTAATTTTGTAGCCATTCCTTTTGGCTCTTATATCTCTTATACCTTACGGGTTAGTGAGGGCCTGCCATCTCTCTATTCCTGGTTGATCTAGGATGTCCAATTGGCTATCGTAGGGATGGATCTGGGACAGATAGCCACACCACCCTGGCAATGACATGGGACAAAATAAAGATTTGGCTATTGGTGCTGCTTGCAGCAGATCGTGGCTAAAATGGGGAAACATGAAATAAAAGTAAATTTCTAAGCACCCCCCTGCCCCACCCGACTGACTGAATGGACACTACCTTGGCCAAGGAGACCCCAGAAAAACTCTGAAAGCTAAGTTTTCCAGCCATGATTAGATGAGAGTTTGGTCACACCTCAGTACACCCCCTTCCTCACTAACCGATACCAGACTTTTTTTGTAAGCGTTAAATAGAAACCAGCCCTGGAACAGAAACAAGACTCACTCCTCTGCTGACTTCAGCCAACCACCTGACACCACAGCCAGACTCCCCTCCTTTTTTGTGGTTTTGACATGACAGCTGACCAGTTTCACCGCGCATTCCTTCCTGACAAGTGACCACCAGTCACAGACTAGTTCTGGCTGGTTTACTCAGGCTGTGCACCTTTTGACATATAAAGCTTAATTTTACTGCATTTTAATGTTAAGTCTCCACCCCAAAGTGAACATGGGGTTTGTGTAACATGTATGTTTGCTTATCATACACGCATGAATCCACCTTTCATGAATATACATAGCTCCTCCTATAACCTGTTAAATATGTACGTTAGCCAGCCCATTTAGTGTAAAACTCCTGTTCCCCACTTCTTCCTTTGAAATGGTTGCTTTTGTTCTCAGCCAAAGGCTCTGCTTCCCAGCCTGCAGGTTGCACGTCAATAAAAGAAATAAAGTTCTTCCCTAATGTATAGATCTCGTGATTTTAAGTCAACACCCTACAGAAAGTCTGTCTCCTGGCTTTGTCTGTTTGCTAAATAGTAGTGTCATTGAGCTTGTTCTCTAATCCCCCGTATTTGCTATAAACTCGGGGTTATATCTAAAGACTAGCAATATCTAAAAAACAAATTGTGCCTTATTTGCTGTCCCTTTGTATTCCTAGATCATAGGTGACAGTGATGTGACACGATTCAGTGAGCCCAATAACTGAGGCTTCAACTTAAGAGTTGTGGTTTTCTCCTGGTTACAAACAGTGCCGTTTTCTACTCTTACTTTGTTTTGAAAACGAAAAGTCAATATTTGAAGAACTCTTAAATAATAAAGTAGGTGCTGCTTTTCAAGCCAGCTATTTGAAGAAAATTAATGAAAAAGAAACATTACTGATCTATATAGGGTGACATGCTACTGAATGTATGAATCCTTCAGTTTTCTCCCCTAATGAGAAGTAGCAATTTTCCACTTTGCCTTGTTTTTGTTCCTATCATTCCCTCCCACCCGTATCTCTTACTTTCTTAGCTTTTCAAGCTACTTACTATCTTTAGCTGGATCTGGCTAGACATTGGTTTTCATACAGTATTTGTCTAGTTTGTTTGAGTTTACATGCCAATAGGCTTATGTCTAATAGAGACTTTTAATTTAAAAGATACTATTGTCAACCTCAAATAACCAAAAAGGTCAGAATCTAGTTTACAGAGTTTATTCAAGCACAACAGTTGAGGACTGCAGCCCAGGACACACTTCCAAGTTGCCTTGGGGAGTGCTCCAGAGAACAAAAGAGAGGCTCAAATTTTTAAAGGACAAATCAAAAGGTGGGGCGCGGTTACAAAAATGGTTAATCAGGGATTCTCATTGGTTTACAGAAATAACATTGGTTAGTGATTGGCTATGTATTGTTGAACTATAGGGTGTATGGCATTTTAGGGCCACTTGGCGTCAGTCTAGAGCCCACATAGCAAGCGGCTTCAAGAAGTAATTATGTAGCTCAAAGGGGAGTGAGCTTGGACTGCTGTGAACATTTTAAATGCCTTTCTGGGCCTGATCATTTAAAGGTGCTTGCATTTCTCAGATCCAAGGTTTTTGTTTCTCACTATCCCTTAACATAGATAAGAACATTTTGAACAAATTAAATAAATAGGATTTTGAGTGGCTTTGTTTTCATGATTACATCATGAGTCTTAATGTTCAAAACATATTGACTCACATTTGGCTATTTGATAATGCATTCTTGGATCGGGAGCCTTAACCACTTAAGGTGGTATGACAGTATGGCTAAAGCTGATTCAAATTCCATTTGTTGTTGGCATGTTACAGTGTTTGTAATAACAGTGTTCCCAATAATTACATGCTAATAAGACTTTTAATTTGCAAAATGCTTTCATATTTGTTTTTGGTTTTGAGCCACATTTTGTTGCTGGAAGGAGAAAGTTTATGTCCACCCTACTAGTGAGAAAACTGAGGCTCAGAAAGACTCACTTATTTGTTGCGGGTGAGCTGTGACTATCTGGGCCAGCAGTGCGAGGGTACAAGAATTTACTAAGACTGGCTGGGCGTGGTGCCTCATGCCTGTAATCCCAGCATTTTGGGAGGCCAAGGTGGGTGGAGCTCCTGAGGTCAGGAGTTCGAGACCAGCCTGTCCAACATGGCAAAACCCTGTCTCTACTAAAAATACAAAAAATTAGCTGGGTGTGGTGGTGGGCGCCTATAATCCCAGCTACTTGGGAGGCTGAGACAGGAGAATTGCTTGAACCCGGGAGGTGGAGGTTGCAGTGAGCTGAGATTGTGCCACTGCACTGTAGCCTGGGCGATAGGGTGAGACTCTGTCTTAAAAAGAAAAATAAAAAAAAGATTAGGATGATGCTAAAGTGTGGAAGGATGGTGGGTGGTCAGCTGTGATTACCACTGTCTACATCTGCATGGCCTTTAAGTGCTTCTCACTGCACTTGGGTCAAGGGACTTTTGAAGGAGTCTTCCTGCATTTCTGTCTGCCCAGATAAACCCAGAGACTATACTGGGACGTAGGACCTGCTTTCCTCATCAGCCAGGACCTATAGACCTTTCTCATCCCTCATTTCCCCCATCCCAGATCTCAAATCCTCAAGCAGAATATCCTGACACTCTGGCCTGCCTTCAGCAAAAATCCATCAAGTTGAGTAAACCCAGAATCTTCCCTCACCTTTGATGTTTCCTCTTAGTAATTTTTCATCTGTTGATCCCCATTCTACTTGGTGGCAATAAATCCTCACTTGTCCTTGTATTCAAAATTGAGCCCAGTCCCTCCCCCTTCTGCAAAACCTTCCCTTCTGTCAGTAGTCTCTCTTGAATAAAGGCTTCCTCAGAGTCTTTGACAAGTGTTATGAATAATTGTTTGCTTAACACTGCACAAAGGGGAAATGGTCTAGAAGAGATACAGACCATTTCTGTTTTCCTAATGATCAGTGATGATCGGTGACCCTAGACTAAACCTCTCTGAAGGATTATTTTAGGCAGAAAGGCCTCTCCCCTCTTCCCTGGGTTTCCTTTCTCAGTCTGCCCCATTTATCTAATTTCCTGTACTTACTTATAAAGAAACTAGATAGTAATTCTTTGGATTGGGCCATTCCACCAAACTTCTATATTGTATGTATAGTATTAGATGATGTTTATATGTTAATAGCCCTTTTAAAGGGTACCACATCCCACCCATCTTTGTTGACATGTTAGTGCCCAAATATCTTTGTAGTTTTCTGCATTTTACTTTTTCCCCTATTGTTTCAAATGCCTGGAATACTCTCTTCACTGTCTCTTAAATTTTCTAAACTCCCATTCACTTTCAAGGTGTGTCTTATTGGTGGAGCAGACACTCCTGGGGACCAACTTGGCAGAAATTAGAATGAGAACATACCAAGAAGCTGAAACTTGGCAGAAATAATGTAGGGAGTCTGTTGGTAATCAGCTGCCTACCACCACCGCAAATTTTGAGATTCTCCTCCTGCTAAAAGCTAAATTATGTGTATTTTCAATAAGGGAGGCATTTTTTTTTCTTGCCTGTGACCAGTCACAGTCTGACTTCATATCTTGTTGTTCCCCATGTTCCCTTATATTCTACAGCAGAACAGAGCTTTCTGTTGCATCCAGTATTTTAAAAACAAGTGTCTGTACCATAACTGAGTCTGGTGTCTTCTGACCTCTCCCTTCCTTACACTGTCTTCCCTCAGTATCGGCAGGAGACTGGTTCCAGAACCTCCTGCAGATACCAAAACCCTTACATAAAATGGCTTGGTGTTTGCCTGTAACCTGTGCATATCCTCATGTATGCTTTAAATCATGTCTAGATTACTTAAAATACCTAATTTGATGTAAATGCTATGTAAATGGTTTTTATACCTTACTGTGCTTTTATTTATATTATTTTTTATTGTTGTGTTGTTATTTTTATTTTCTAATATTTTCAATCGACCTGTGGTTGGCTGAATCTGCAGATCCAGATCCCAGAGATACAGAGGGCCAATTGTTCTTCTCTCCAGCAGCCAGAACAGCCTGTAGCTCTTTACAAGCACTGTGCTCTTTCCCATCTTGAAGGCTTTGCTCCCGCTGCTTCCTCTTTGTGCAGTTACCTCTCTTCCACTGGATAACAGTCACTCATCCTTTAAGATTCAGTTCAATGATGACTTCTTTCTGGAAGCCTCTTCTGAGCCAGCCACCAGACTAGGTTGGGTGTTCCTCTTCTGTGTCCCATAGTACCAGTGTTTACTTCTAATATTTCATAATTGTCTGATAATGGATCTGCCTTACCAGTTCTGCGGTGAGTTTCTTGAAAGCAGGAATTATATCCTATTCATCTTTGTATCCCATGTTTCTAGCACAGTAGTTGACAAGTGGTAGGCACTTGGATATTGTTTGAGTAGATGAGTGTGTGAACAAAAAGTTTAGTAACAGAAGCTTTTTATTTAAGTACAAGTTTCATGTAGAGACTCAATAATTAATCAGTGACTTTTGCTTTCTACAGATATTGGTATCAACTTGACTGACCCTATGTTCAGAGGAATTTATAGGGGGGTTCAAAAGCATCAAGGTAAATATTTCCTTTATTAAGGCGAATAGTTTCCTATGAAGACAAATTTTCTGCCTCAGGAGATCTTGAAAAGCATAATTCAAGCTGAGTCTTGTGGCTCACACCTGTAATCTCAGCACTTTGGGAGTCTGAGGCAGGAGGATTGCCTGAGCTCAGGAGTTCAAGAGCAGCCTGGGCAACATAATCCGCTCTTAAAATTGAAATAATAAAGAACTCCTGGCTGGGCGCAGTGGCTCATGCCTGTAATCCCAGCACTTTGGGAGGCTGAGGCAAGTGGATCACCTGAGGTCAGGAGTTCGAGACCAGCCTGGCCAACATGGTGAAACCCCATCTCTACTAAAAATACAATAAAATTAGCTGGGCATGGTGACATGCACCTGTAATCCCAGCTACTTGGGAGGCTAAGGCACGAGAATCACTTGAACCCAGGAGGTGGAAGTTGCAGTGAGCCGAGACCACACCATTGCACTCCAGCCTGGGCAACAAGAACGAAACTCCGTCTCAAAAAAAAAGAACTCATTATGCATTTTGGATAAACCTGTAAACAAAGTGAAACACATTTATTGATAAACCATGATCATGAACATTTATAATAAAGTTTAATTAAGGTCTTCTTACCTGTAGAAGTTTATAATTTCAAATATAAAACTTCAAATAGCCATTTGCACAGAAGCTAAAAAAAAAAGTCAAATTTTTGTCTGCCAGGTTTTCATAATACAGAGTTTATCTTTTACAGATGACTTACAGGATGTAATAGGGAGAGCTGTCGAGATTGGTGTTAAAAAGGTAACATCCATTTTGTTATTTTTGAGATTTTTAAAATTCATTTTTTAACTAAATTTTAGTTAAAATTTTGCAGAATAGAAAGGAACAAACCAATGCCACAGTTGGGGTACATATTGTCTACTTGTGATATTAGAAAGTTAATTGAAACAAAATATCAAAATACTCTGTTCATAGCAATTTAAGTTACACAAATCTCATGTATTGTTTTTATATATGATAAATGGCAAAAGCTCCTTGAAAAAAAATTTTTTAAACCTATGTGAATTACCAGGCTTAAGAGGCAACTTTTAATCAATTTTATAATATAATTTAGCATTTGTCAGAATTAAGCAATAATCAAAAATACATGTACCTGACACCAAGTGTAGCTATTTATAGTTTGGGCATACCATTTAAATAATGGAGTAAAACTTTCATTTTTACAGTAATAAAATGCCTACGGCTTTTTAGAGAGTTCTACTAAGCAAATGAATAGATATTTCTTTAAATTAGCTTTAAAACAGAGAGCTAGCCCACACATACACTAAGAAATAAGGTTAAATTCCATACTATGCTACCAGGACACTTGGTAGCTGCTACCTCCAAGATGAATAACTTGTTTTGGAAAGTGACACTGCTGACTAAATGAGTTTGCAGACTCCAACTCTAAACTTTTATTTGTTATTATTCACAAATAATATGAAAAGATAAAAGTTACATTAATTTCTCATTATAGTCACTCTGCTTGGTAAATCACTTTAAACAATGCTTTTCTGCAGACTCTGAAATACTAGGCTCCTAAATTTTCATGTGTTAGCCATGAGTAATCTTAATGTTTATTCACACACACACACTTAGGAATGACAGAACTGAAGTGATTTTTACTTGGACATGGTTCCAAACTGAAATTTAATTCAATACCTTGCATTTATAGTGTAGTAGTTAAAAGCATAGTTAGGGCATAACAAACGTGGTATCCAGCCCCTACTTCATTTTTCATAGCTTTATAACCTGGAGTCTTTTATCTCACTAGACTTCAGTTTTCTCATCTGTAAAATGAGAATGATAATAGTACTTAATTAATAGAGTTGTTATGAAGGCTAAATAAAATATTGAGTGTAAAGCATTTGGTATTATACCTGGCATAAACAACCTTCATTATGTGTATGATGGAAGCCACCACCATGAGATCATCATCATCGTTATCTTTTTTTTTTTTTTTTTTTTTTGAGACGGAGTCTCGCTCTGTCACCCAGACTGGAGTGCAGTGGCATGATCTCGGCTCACTGCAAGCTCTGCCTCCCGGGTTCACGCCATTCTCCTGCCTCAGCCTCCCGAGTAGCTGGGACTACAGGCGCCCGCCACCACACCCGGCTAATTTTTTTGTATTTTTAGTAGAGACGGGGTTTCACCACGTTGGCCAGGATGGTCTCGATCTCCTGACTTCGTGATCTGCCAGCCTTGGCTTCCCAAAGTGCTGGGATTACAGGCTTGAGCCACCGCGCCAGGCCCATCATCGTTATTTTATACACTGGGAGAGGAGATGATGCCCTCTTGTCTTGCCGTTTTTTTCAACTATTTAGTAAAGTTGTAGGTAAAATAAAAAGTATACTTGGTTAGTATTTTACGTAATTTAAATACTGGATGTAGGCATCTGTTCTAGTATTAAAGTTTTAGGTATGTTAGTAACAAGAAAGTTTTCCCAATATTTTTATTAGTCTTTTTTTTTTTTTCTGGAGGCGAGTCTCGCTCTGTCCCCCAGGCTGGAGTGCAGTGGCACGATCTCGGCTCACTGCAACCTCTGCCTCCCGGGTTCAAGTGATTCTCCTGCCTCAGCCTCCCAAGTAGCTGGGACTACAGGGGCCTGCCACCACGCCTGGCTAATTTTTGTATTTTCAGTAGAGACGGGGTTTCGCCATGTTGGCCAGGATGGTCTCAAACTCCTGACCACGGGTGATCCATCTGCCTCAGCCTCCCAAAGTGCTGGGATTATAGGCGTGAGCCACTGCGCCCTGCCTTACATCTTCTGCTTTACAGATAGTCAAGGATTTAATTATGGCTATGTTTCCGGAATGGATATGCAATAGCTAATCATATTAAAGATTTAAATAGCTATATGAAAATATCTATTTATCATTTGCAATTCTACCTTCGTTTTGTGTTTTCTCCCTAAGTTGTACCTAGAATGAATTCATTTTAGTGAGACTTTTGAAGTATGCTTTACAAAAATATACATCATTATACTTGAATCACGTCTTCAGAAGAAGGCGCCCCTTACGCAGCACTGCTTCAGTGCTCTCACTATCAACACATAACTCTTTAGTGACATTTTCATTTTAACAGATTAGGAAAGATGGCATTCTAATTACTGAGCGGACTCTAATGGGTCTATGCAGAAGTATGCTTATTTGCCAAAAGCCATACGTTTTCCTACAGAGAATTCATTAGCATGCATTAACTCACTGATTCTCAAACCTTTTGCTCTCAAAACCACTTCACATTCTTTATTATTGAGGACCCCCAAAGAGCTTTTGTTTGTGTGAGTCTTACCTACTGATACATACTATATTAAAAATTAAAACAAAATATTTTAAATATTCCTTTTAAAATAAGAAACTACTGGATAACATAAATAGCATATTTTTATGAAAAATAAGTATATTCCAGAACAAAAAAATTAGCAACATGAGTACAGTTGTATGTTTTTTCAAATCTCTAATGACTGTGTTACTAGAAGCCTGCTGAATTTTCATATCTTTTTCTGTAGTCAGTCTCTGGTGGTGTCAAACATCGTGTAGCTTCTTGAATACCTTGTGGACACTTGCAGTAGAGTGAGAGTGAAAAAGACAGAAAGTGTCTTATTATTGTTAGGAAAATAGTTTTGACTTCACATACCTACTGGGAGTTACCAGACTACACCTGGAGAACTGTTGAATCAATCAACACTATTGAATCATTGATTTCGTTATTCACGCTTTCATAACACCTGATCTCTGTCCTCAAGGAATGCATTGTCTAATAGGAAAGGTGGGTATATAAATACATTTTAACAGAGTCTAGTGATGAATTCTGCACCTCTACATGCACACACACATACATACATCCCTGAGGTGTAGTCAGGCACTACTCTGCATAGGAGGTAATCTCCCAGCTGAATTTTAAAGGGTAGGTGTGTGGCAGTCACAGAGGAAAGAGCATTCTGGAATAAGGAAGTGGTAGGAAGGCATGTTTAGGAAACTGTTATTGCTGCCCTATTAAAGTCAGCTTATTTTATTTTCTTTCTATTTCAGTTTATGATTACAGGTGGAAATCTACAAGACAGTAAAGATGCACTGCATTTGGCACAAACAAATGGTATCCTCATATTTCTTTTACCAAAAAAAAAATGAATTAAGTAATTTTGAAGAAGTCTTTCTGAAAACTGCTTCAGGTACAATACAATGGATCATGACTGGAAACAATAGGAAAATGGACTGATTTAAATGGGACATGATTAAGATGACAAAATTCAAAGTACTCATTGGTATATCAGATGTTTATAAAACTGTTTCATACTGCTCAATGAAGATTATTTTAAGATTTCAGCTAATGAGAATAAAGTTCTCCAGGTACACAGTTTAACCTCAGGTGTGTTTTTTTTTTTTTTTTGAGACGGAGTCTCACTCTGTTACCCAGGCTGAAGTGCAGTGGTGCGATCTCGGCTCACTGCAAACTCCACCTCCCAGGTTCACACCATTCTCCTGCCTCAGCCTCCCGGGTAGCTGGGACTACAGGCGCCCGCCACCACGCCAGGCTAATTTTTTGTATTTTTAGTAGAGACGGGGTTTCACCATGTTAGCCAGGATGGTCTCGATCTCCTGACCTCGTGATCCACCCGCCTCAGCCTCCCAAAGTGCTGGGATTACAGGCGTGAGCCACTGCACCCGGCCTTTTTTTTTTTTTTTTTTTTTTTTTTTTTTTGAGATAGAGTCTCACTCTGTCGCCCAGGCTAGAGTGCAGTGGCGCAATCTCGGCTCACTGCGCGCGCCACCTCCCTGGTTCATGCCATTCTCCTGCCTCAGCCTCCCATGTAGCTGGGACTACAGGTGCCTGCCACCATGCCCAGCTAATTTTTTGTATTTTTAGTAGAGAAGGGGTTTCACTGTGTTAGCCAAGATGGGTCTTGATCTCCTGACCTCGTGATCCGCCTGCCTCGGCCTCCCAAAGCGCTGGGATTACAGGCGTGAGCCACCGTGCCCAGCCAACCTCAGGTGTTTTTGATGTGGAATTCATGTGTGTGTTTTAACGTGTTTAAGATACGAGTTGCTTTTTATTTACTCTTTTTTAACTTAAGCTGTGAAGGGCCATTTTATTAAATTTTTACTAGATGGACCAGATACTGTGCAAGGTACCAGGAATGCAAATAATAACACTATATAATCTCTCATATCCTTGCTTTATGTTCATACATTTTGCATTTGTTTAAAATCTTAAAAGTTTTAAGACTGATTATTAAAGGAATCCTAGTTAGGTAAAACCTCATTTATCTGGCATTCACGAATTTCACTTTTTTTTGCATTATCTTACGTGCTAGACACTGAGGAATTAAACATTCCACATAATTTTTAAATTTTGTATTTTAAAATACTGATGTGTTTCCTTTATGTATGAAAACTTACTAAAAGCTATATTTTTATGGAAATCTCTCTAAAATCCACACTTGTCTTTTAGGATCCATTCACACTTTTTCTTTTTTTTTTTTTTTTTGAGACAGTCTTGTTCTATCACCCAGGCTGGAGTGCAATGGCACGATCTCGGCTCACGGCAACCTCTGCCTCCTGGGTACAAGTGATTCTCCTGCCTCAGCCTCCTGAGTAGCTGGGATTACAGGCGTGTGCCACCACACCCAGCTAATTTTTGTATCTTTAGTAGAGACGGGGTTTCACCATGTTGGTCAGGCTGGTCTTGAACTCCTGACCTCGTGATCTGCCCGGCTTGCCCTCCCAAAGTGCTGGGATTACAGGCGTAAGCCACCTCACCCACCCCATTGACACTTTTTGTTAGTGATTAAAGATAGACTATCTTCCAGGGAGTTTTTGAAATATATAAGAACATTTTATCCTTACTTTTCATCCCCAAACAGCTATGCTTTTTAAAGTTCTCCCACCTCCATTACCAGCCCTCTTCCACTCCTCTCCATGTAACTTCTGTTCTTACAGCTTTAAAAGTGCTGCTTCCTTTTTTTCTAAACATCTACATGAGAGCCTGAGGAAAGCTTGATACCTTTCCCATGGTTCGGGCTCAGCTAAGCCATTCAAAAAGTGTTTTTGACTTCTCATTTGTATTCTATGCAAGTCAAGCTGTCAGAGTCTCCTCCGAATAAGTGAACCTCATTTACTTGCTAGAAAAACAAATCCCCCTTTCCACCACTTTAAATCGCCCCCACTATTAACCTGTTTAAGGGAATACATTTTTATTGCTATATTAAATACATGAATCAATAATGGAGGAATAGGTGTTAAACAAACAAAAATATACCAATCAAGATAGTCACATGAATGGTGAATATAAAAGATAAAATCAGTGCTGGTCATGGTGGCTCAGGCCTGTAATCCCAGCACTTTGGGAGGCCAGGCAGGTGGATCGCTTGAGCTCAGGAGTTCGAGACCAGCCTGGGCAACGTAGCGAAACCCTGTCTCTACCAAAAAAAAAAAAATTAAAAATTAGCCAGGTGTGGTGGCATGCGTATGTAGCCCCAGTTACGTGGGAGGCTGAGGTGGGAGGATCGCTTGAGCCCAGGAGGTCAAGGCTGCAGTAAGCTGTGATAGCACCACTGCACTCCAGCCTGGGTGACACAGTGGCACCCTGTCTCAAAAAAAAAAAAAAATTTCACTTTGCATTCTACAGCCCTAAATGCCAAGCTTTAGAAAAAGTTGAATTATTTTATTAATACATTAAAGCAATTTTCATATTCATCTCCTACTTTGTTTAGGTATTCTAAAAATTGTCATATGATTAACATAATGCAGTTCTTATAATTTGAGTAATTTATTGCCATTGTTGAAAACCAGTTGAAATTACTTGATATCCTCTAAATATCATAATAAATATAAATATGAGAAAATACTTTGAAAATAATCCTAAGACATTATTTTCTGTTAGGTATGTTTTTCAGTACAGTTGGATGTCATCCTACAAGATGTGGTGAATTTGAAAAGAATAACCCTGATCTTTACTTAAAGGAGTTGCTAAATCTTGCTGAAAACAATAAAGGGAAAGTTGTGGCAATAGGAGAATGCGGACTTGGTGAGTGCCAGCCTCGCCTCTTAGAGTGACATTGTTTGAAAATAAGTAATTTGTTCTGTATAAGTTAGGAGTAATTATTCTTCTTTATCTTTTTAAAGATTTTGACCGACTGCAGTTTTGTCCCAAAGATACTCAACTCAAGTAAGGAAATTTGTTGGCTTTACAAATTATTGTAAAATCATGAGTGATTTTTAAAATATCTTGTATCAGGTGAGAGTATAGTTGGATTAAGCATGAGGATATTTTTGTTTTTCCCTTTGTATATCAAAAGTAAGTGAAACAAATTCCATGCATACTTGCATGTAATTCATAAGGGATGGAAGCACATAGTTCCCTGGTTGATTAACCATTTAATTTTATTGTAATGGTAGAAATTAGGGATGAGTTTTACATGATAGAGATTTTACATTTTCTGTTTGCTTGTTTAACAGACGCATTCATACGTGAACAGTTCCAATGGAATGAATTAAATTATTTTGGGGAATGTGATTGTTTTGTTTTGTTTTTTGAGACAGAGTCTCTCTGTCGCCCAGGCTGGAGTGCAGAGGCGTGATCTCAGCTCACCGCAACCTCCACCTCCTGGGTTCAAATGAGTCTCCTGCCTCAGCCTCCCGAGTAGCTGGGATTACAGGCATGTGCCACCATGCCCGGCTAATTTTTATGTTTTTAGTAAAAATTGGGTTTCACCATATTGGTCAAGCTGGTCTCAAACTCCTGACCTCAAATGATCCACCCGCCTCGGCCTCCCAAATTGGGAGATATAATTTAAGAGCAAAGGATATTAAAAGTGTATTACAAGCCAGGCACAGCAGCCTGCGTCTGTAGTCGCAGCTGTTTGAGAGGCAGAGGCAGGAGAATTGCTTGAGCTCAAGAGTTCCAGACCAGCCTGAGCAACATAAGGAGACTCCGTCTCTAAAAAAAACCAGCAAGAAAAAACCCACAAAAGTATTATAGGATCAATCACCAAAGCTAGAAAAGCTTATTTTACTCTTGCTGGGCATTGAATATTGCTAGTTTGGAACTGTGAGATTCCTTTAATAGGAGCCATGTTGAATGGTGGCTTCTGAGAAAACTCCAAAGCTCACGACCCTGCAGGACTTCCTGTAACCCATTGCCTGGAGCTAAATTTGGAGCTCCTGTCATCATACTGGTGGGTGAGTGTTATAGATTGAAAAGAAAATTTAGGTCACAGTCTGAATTTAAAACGTAAGCATTTTGTTGAATTTCAAAAACATCTTAATTATGAAAATGATAAAACATTAGACTGAGCTTCTAAAGGGGGTTAATTTATTCATCCATTGAACAAATATTTATGGAGTACTGTGTGCCAGCCACTGCTGAGAGCTCATAGTATGCAGAAATATGAATAAGGTAGAATATCTGTCCCTAGAGACCTTTAAGAATAAACAATCCTCTGTCCTCCTTAGTTTCTTATACACAAAGAAGAATTAGGATCAGATTCTCTCTTAAGATACCATCCAGCTATATCATAATGTTTAACAATTAATAATTTTGTCATATGGTGATATGATCATATGATTAAGCCAGTGACTTGATGGCCTGAAGGGATTTTTTTAAATTACGCATGAGGAAAGTGTACTTCCTCCCGCTTCCCTCCCTGCTCCCCACAAATGGGATTCTGATATGTACCCCCTGGTTGAAAATCACTTTGGGGAGGAGCAGATCTGCTAGTGGAGTCTGTCATACCCTAGACCTCAAGCTCCAAAGTTCTGAAGTGTGAAGATCTATAACCAAGTAGAATAGGATGGGTTAACGTAATGCTCTGTGGATACCTACTCTCTCTTTTAGGTCGCTCATTTGTACATCCCTTGTAGAACTGTTTAGTTTGTGGTATATTATTTGCTGATTTGCTGTGCCTTTCAGGGACATTCATGTGGTTACTAGCAGGGTTACTGAAGCCCTATACCTCTGTCGAATATTATGTAGGCCAGCTCACTTAACCTTAAAAGTTCTCGTGTTCACATTGAAATAGAAAAACAGTTCTCTTTAATAGTTCTTTAGGTTAAGCCCAGATATCATATTCCTCAACTTTCATGTCTGGTTTTGGTCAGGATAAGCCTTGTAAGTCTAATAGACTGTGTTATGACAAGCAAGGGCAATGGCAGAGTCCCCGTGTTTTTTTGCCCATATGACTTTTCATCCAAAATGAGTTAGAACTGATTCTAAAATGCAACCTCAATACTTTAAACTCACTTTTGGGATTAATCGAAAACATTGACAGTATCAGTTTAATTTAACTGTTCTGAAGATTCTTCACCATCATCAGAATAGCGTCTGATCTTAGAATATGCATATCACAGCTTGTGCTTGAACTCACATGCCAAGCGTTAATTGCTAATAGAGAGGTTCAAACTACATTCAGTAAATGATTACCAAGTGCCTCCTCAGCATGATACAAAGAAGAATAAGACTTTTTCCAAGAGAGGACATAAATAATTAAAATAGGTTGGAAGTGCTTACTAAAGTATGTGAACAGCAGAGGGAAGGACTGACTTTCTGGGGGATGCTCTAAGGTGACAGCATATGACACTGGCTTCTTCCAGAGTGGATAAGCTAATGACAAAGTAGGAGGAAATTTTGATAAGATAGGCAGTTCTACTTGAGATTTTTAAAATTTTAATAATAAAACATCAAATGACTTGGTTAAAAAAACAGCCGGGTGCGGTGGTTCATGCCTATAATTCCAGCACTTTGGGAGGCCAAGGCAGGCCGATCACCTGAGATCAGGAGTTCAAGACCAGCCTTACCAACATGGTGAAACCCCGTCTCTACTAAAAACAAAAACTAGCCAGGCGTGGTGGCGAGCACCTGTAATCCCAGCTACTTGGGAGGCTGAGGCAGGAGAATTGCTTGAACTGGGGAGGAGGAGGTTGCAGTGAGCCAAGATCGTGACATTGGACTCCAGCCCGGGCAACAGAGAAAGATTCCGCTCAAAAGAAAAAAAAAAGACACACTAGTAACAATCACATTTTGATTATTGTTAAGGAAACAAATACCCACATTCTCTGCCCCTCACTCCTTTTCCCCTCGCATATACTCACAGCATGCAATCTGTTTTGTATACACAGCACTCTACTTGTTTCAGCACTTACCATGTTGTACAGAAATGGGTTTTCATTATCCCTTCCTCCCCGCAACAGACAGGTGTCTTTGAGTTCCTCAAAGGCACACACCAAGTCTTACTCATGTGACAGTTCCATAGCACTTAGCACAGTACTCTCAGCACATGGTAGGCACTTAGTAAATGTCTGTTGAATATTTAATACAGAGGGAAGGTTCTTTTCTTTTTTATTCCCTTTGAGCAGCATGGATAAAAAGCCTATAATTCAGCTTTCACTATTGGGTTTATTTTTGGAAGACTTCAGATTTTGGTCTGCACTTTTCTACCATCTGGAACAACCAGTGTATGATTGTGTTTGTTTGTTTGTTTGTTTGTTTTTTGAGATGGAGTCTCACTCTGTCCCCCAGGCTGGAGTGCAGTGGTGCAATCTCAGATCACTGCAACCTCCACCTCCCAGGTTCAAGCAATTCTCCTGCCTCAGCCTCCCAAGTAGCTGGGATTACAGGTGCCCATCAGCATGCCTGGCTAATTTTTTTGTATTTTTAGTAGAGACAGAGTTTCACCATGTTGGCCAGGCTGGTTTCGAACTCCAGACCTCAAGTGATCCGCCCACCACGGCCTCCCAAAGTGCTAGGGTTACAGGCATGAGCCACTGCACCCGGCCATGATTTGTTTTTAAGTAAATATGTAGTCAGGAAAAAGGAGATGTATGAGAAAAGAAAAATAGAAAATTAGGGGGCAAGACAGAAAAATTAATATACAATAGATGTAGTGTCTGAAAAATAATGGTAAGTGAAGGCGGTGTATGACCATGTTAAAAGGATGAGCTTTGGAATCAGCAGATCTTTGGGTGAGATTTACAACTGCCTTTGGTGTCACTTCATCCCTTTGTGCATCCCCTTTAAAATGGGGAGATTGCTGCCTACCTTTCTTAACATAAGGCACATAAAGCCCATAGTGACATGAGTCATGCAGAGTATGTGCACAATCATGGCTGTTGTTACATTCCTCATACTAGAAATAATTACCACCCTAAAGGAAGATGCTAGCTATTGTTTTTGTTTGGAACTTTTAAAAGTTTTTTTTTTTAATACTTTTTTCTTGTTTTAGTACCTAGACCTTTTCTGGAAAAAGTATTTTTTAAAGACTAAGAAAGAGAAGCAAAGAGTGAAAACAAGGAAAGGCCTGATCTACTTATGGAAAGTTTATCCTTTAAGCCATACCCTGTATTTTCAATTTCCTGGCCTTATGCTACACTCCTTTCCTTGTTGCAATTTAGAGCTCTGTTCTCTTGGGTAGGAGGAATTTGCTTTGGGCATTTTTCTTGGGGCTTTAAAATGTTAACACTGTGCAGGTCTTAAAAACTACAACAAGAAGATTTTAAAACAATCCTTTGGGGATTTAGGGGACCCTAGAGATGAGCAATTGAGGCCATGTTGCCATCAAGCAGCTTACAGAGGAGGGATTACTACTTGTGTTGAGGTATACCCATGAAACTCACTGGGCTTTTTGGATTTGCCTTGATCCTAATTAATAACAACTGCTCCTGAAGCTGAACTTTTCCAGCTCTTGTCGTTAGATAGTTAAACCTCAACTGTAAGAAGCAGTAATAAAATCAGAAGCTTCACTAAGATGAG
The DNA here is from genome assembly GCF_000001405.40 of Homo sapiens. Taxonomy (NCBI): domain Eukaryota; kingdom Metazoa; phylum Chordata; class Mammalia; order Primates; family Hominidae; genus Homo; species Homo sapiens. The sequence continues at coordinate 46,117 of NW_025791784.1, read as the reverse complement.
CAAATAACTCAAGTGGAAAATTATTTTCATTTATGAACTTTAAAAAAATAATAAGTGAGTAAAACAGGCAGAGAAGTCTCTTAATAGATGCCAATTCCTACCCTGTAACTTATACAGTTATTTCTAGTTACCATGGCGGGTTTTTCTTCTCTAAAGATAATAGTCGTTTGATGTTCAGTACTAGTTATCCTCAATTTGTATCATTAGGAATAATTTTTTTTACCACATGGCTTCTTTATGATACGTAGCTAGCATGACTTCAGGGACCTTTCTTTTCTTGAATTATGTAAAATTCTGTGGGCCCATTGCTTGGGCTTCTGTTATTTTCTTTTTCTTTTTTCTTTGAGACAGGGTCTCACTCTGTCATCCAAGCTGGAGTGCAGTGGTGTGATCATGGCTCACCGCAGCCTTGACCTCGCCAGGCTCAAGCAATCCTCCCACCTCAGCCTCCCAAGAACTGAGACTGTAGGCATATGCTACCACACCTGGCTAATTCTTGTATTTTTTGTAGAGATGGGGTTTCACCATGTTGCCCAGGTTGGTCTCGAACTCCTGAGCTCAAGCAATCCACCCACCTCAGCCTCCCAAAGTGCTGGGATTACAGGCCTGAACCACACACCCAGCTGGCCTCTGTTATTTTCATAAACTGTACTTTTGCCTACATTCCTATAGGAAGCTAATTTTCCATCCGACCATTAGATACTGTGAATTTGTAGCTTGGTCATGTGGTTTGGTCCATGGAATTGTGTGTGGAAAAAATAACCAGTACAGCGTGGAGCAGTGCACACAATGAAGAGTACCGCCTGCTGTGTGTAGTCAGAGCCAAATATATTAGTAAAGTTGACATAATGACTAGTGCACACTTAACTGCTGACATTTGGTTTACTTTAGAGGTTATGGAAATAGTGACTGGTTATATTATCAAAATCTCTTTTTGTCCAAGTTGTCGTTAATATTTCCTACACTGCAAAATTTCAGCACTTTGTTAATGAAAGGAAAATATTTTTGCTTATTCTAACCCAGCAGAATCTGAAAAGGAGATTTTAAAACCCAAACATTTGGTAATACAGACATAGACGACCTATTTTAGGAAGACTATTTCTATTTTTTTAATTTTTAATTTTTTTTTTTTTTTTTGAGACAGAATGTTGCTCTCTCACCCAGGCTGGAGTGCAGTGGTACAATCTCAGCTCACTGCAACCTCTGACCCTGGGTTCAAGAGATTCTCATGCCTGCCGAATAGCTGGGATTACAGGCATGTGCCAACATGCCGGCTAATTTTTGTATATTTAGTAGAGACGAGGTTTCACCATGCTGGCCAGGCTGGTCTTGAACTCCTGCCCTTGAGTGATCCACCCGCCTTGGCCTCCCAAAGTGCTGGCATTACAGGTGTGAGCCACCACGCCCGGCCTGAAGACTGCTTCTTAAGAAGTACATTTCTATTTCTAATTTTAAAATTTAGCATTTTCAAGAGAGCAAAGGGGGTAAAATAGTCCTGCACATCAGGAAATATGATATAGAAAAATATAGCAAGAGAGGCTTAAGTTAAACAGAGAAATTGTTTCCCCAAATTAAAGTGCTTAGAAGAGGTAAGCACATTTAAGAAAATAATAAGCCACCTGTTATCCTGATTCAGTTGAACCTACCATTTGTGAGAACAAGGGGGAGCACTGTGTTGAAGTGAAAAGACAAACAGAATGAACATTCGTTGTATCCTCTGAATATTGTCATTATACTCCGGGACCAGAAGGAAGCTTCTTGAAAACGTAACAGGTTTTTGTCGTTTAGGCTGGGACTTGGAATTAGAGCAGTGAAGTTCTGTTCCAAGTTGGCCATGCCAGGTATTGTTATCTTGGACAAAGTACTACACCTCTCTGACACCAGCTTTTATACTCAGGTTATTTTGAGGATCAAATGAGACAATGGTATCTGGTACTTGGAAAAACCTTCTTATCAAGTACTCTTTAAGATATTCAGGGCTACCACTTTATCATGTAATTTTCTTTTTTTAATAGCATAATTGAGTTATTTGCTGTTTAGCAAATACTTAGATTTCATTTTTGAGGGAAACCTTGTTCATTTTGCCCAGTGGCAATAACTTCTTTTATAACAGCACATAAAAAACTGGTTGCAAAATGGAATAGATTAGCATGCAGTATGAAGCTCTCCTGGGCTTCTCGCTTGGTGAGTTGACTCCCACTGATGGTGCTCCCAGTGGCAAGGGGCCAGTGGTGTTACTTTCTGAAAATTAAAGGGCCCAGATAATTTTGTAAGCCCAGAAAATGAAGTATTTCTTTCCAGAAGTTGTAAGTTATAAAAGCCCTTTGATAAGCCTGATGTGCTTTAAATATTCATGATTTTTGTCCTGTAATTTCTAGAGAATTAAATACCTTTAATTTAAAAGCTCTTTTGACATCATTACCTTCCTCATGCTAAAATACAATTTGTAATGAGAATTTTTTTTTTTTGCATTATGCAGATATTTTGAAAAACAGTTTGAACTGTCAGAACAAACAAAATTACCAATGTTTCTTCATTGTCGAAACTCACATGCTGAATTTTTGGGTGAGTTAAAACCAAAGTCTCATTCAGAACTTAAGAATTTTGTAGAAATCAAGCTATTTGCTAAAAGTTCTTTGTTTTTAATTCACAGACATAATGAAAAGAAATAGAGATCGGTGTGTAGGGGGAGTGGTAAGTATAAAATAGTCATTTTTAATACAGGTTGAACATCTCTAATCCAAAAATCCAAAATACTCCCAAGTACAAAATGCTCCAAAATCTGAACCTTTTTAAGCACTGGCATGAGATAATGACACCTTTGCTTTCTGATTATTCATTGTACACAAATTTTGTTTCACGCACAAAATTATTTAAAATATTTACCTTCAGGGTGTGGTATAAGGTGTATGTGAAACATAAATGAATTTCATGTTTAGACTTGAGTCCCTTCCCAAAGATTTCTTTTTATGTATATGCAGATATTCCAAAATCTGAAAAAATCTGAAATATGAAACACTTTTGGTCCCACACACTTGGGATAAGGGATACTTAACATTTATGTGACACACAAAGCATCTTGGTTATTAAGGATGGCCCCTAATTCAGATGTCAACATTTAAATTTTTTTTAAAAAGGAATAACAAAGAAAAACATAGGAATTAGATAGAATTCAATAGAATTAGGAGCTTCTTTTCCCATCCTTTGAAAGACATGTAAATTTACTGTTGAATTTATGGACCAGGTGTGGCATAAACACAAATCAGTTTTAATTACAGTTCCTTTGTTCAAAGTACAAGAATGCGTACAGAATTCCATTCACAAGAAAACCCTGTGAAATTTTTTTTGTTTTTTGTGTGTGTTTTTTGTTTTTTTTTTTTTTTGGTTATTAAGAAAGGGTCTGGCTCTGTCATCCAGGCTGAAGTGCAGTGGCACAATCTCAGCTCACTGCAACCTCTGCTTCCCCGGGATCAAGCCATCCTCAGCCTCCCAAGTAGCTGGGACTACAGGCATGTGCCACCATGGCCAGCTAATTTTTTTGTATATTTTGTAGAGATGAAGTTTTACTATGTTGCCTAGGCTGATCTCGAACTCCTAAACTCAAGCAATCTGCCCACCCTGGCTTCCCAAAGTGTTGGGATTACAGGTGTGAGCCACTGTGCCTGGCCCTTGAATTCTACACATCCTAATGCTGTGCATGATATTCTTCGTCTCTTCTGTCAGCTGTTCTTTAATGTTCTTCCATCCAAATTTTGAGCAAATATAAACTAATTTTTATGTTTTGAAATATTTTACCATTTGTTTTAGGTTTGCCTTTCTCATTTCTTGTCCGCTGTATTCACCTACTATTCTGATCTAGAGAGTCATTCTCCTTTCTGTAATTTGCATTCTGCACTAAACACTTCTCTGATATAGCCATTTTAGTCATTATTCTGGAGACATTTCCCATAAATACTATCTGCTAACCACATACCTCCGATATCTATGGCAGTGATTTTTTTTTTTTTGAGATGGAGTCTCGCTCTGTCACCAGGCTGGAGTGGAGTGGCACAATCTCAGCTCACTGCAACCTCCGTCACCTGGGTTCAAGCAATTCTCCTGCCTCAGCCTCCCAAGTACCTGGGACTACAGGTGCACACCACCACGTCCAGCTAATTTTTGTATTTTTAGTAGAGACGGGGTTTCACCATGTTGGCCAGGATGGTCTCGATCTCTTGACCTCATGATCCTCCCCCCATCAGCCTCCCAAAGTGCTAGGATTACAGGCATGAGCCACCTTGCCCAGCCATGATTTTTAGTCTCTTCGATCATGGACTCCTTTGGAAACCTGCCTTAGAAAAATGCTCAGATATACATATATTCATATGCAATTTCAGGAGAGTGACTCAGTGAGTGACTGTGTCTAGCAAAAGAACTGTAATCCAGGTAGATTAAATCACAGTTACACTATGCCTGCTAAGGAAAGAGGAAATAGCACCAAGCACTTGCATTCCCATGCGGCCTGACGTTGACAGTTTTATGCGTATTCTCTAAGTTCAACCTCTGCCTCATCTATACTACTAGTAATATGTATGCATCCTGCATTGCTGTAATGTTAATATTACTGTGCACTTTTTTCCTGTTTGTACTAACTCTGTAATTTTTTCCTGTTTTTACTTACTCTGTAATTTATCCTGTAGGAACTGTACTTAAGAATTGAGAGGGGTTTTAGTTTTAACTAATGCCGTTGGGATTATTAGTGGTATTTATCCTAACCTTCAGACTCTACCTCTCAGCCCATTTGCTTTATTTCTTTTCTTTTTTTCTTTTTCTTTTTTTTTTTTTTTTTTTTTTGAGACAGAGCCTTGCTCTGTCACCCAGGCTGGAGTGCAATAGCACGATCTTGGCTCACCACAACTTCTGTCTTCCAAGTTCAAGCAATTCTTTTGCCTCAGCCTCCCGAGTAGCTGGGGCTACAGGCACGCACCACCACGCCTGGCTAATTTTTGTATTTTCAGTAGAGACAGGGTTTCATCATGTTGGCCAGGTGGGTCTTGAACTCCTGACCTCAAGCGATCCACCTGCCTCGGCCTCCCAAAGTGCTGGGATTACAGATGGGAGCCACTGTGCCCAGCCTATTTCTAAATAAGAATTTACTTGGGTTCTATTAATAGTTTTTAAAATTAACAAAAGCAACAACAAATCCAACCTAAATGTTTGACTTTTACCAAAAAAGAAATTGCCAAATAATTAATAACTAGTTTTCTGAAATGGTTTATGAGGAGTCACTTTTAAAATGATTTCGATATTAATGGAGGGCATCTTTTCTAGTCAGCTGGAAATGGTGAAGGAAAGAATAATGCAGGCAGCTGTGTAATGCAGGCTTCTTTATTGTTGAGAAATATGTTATCCATAGTGTATTCAGGCTCTCTGGACTCAGTAGTAATGTGATGTCACTTGTTTAGGTGAACCTACTTTTTAAAGGAGGGCTGTTGTTATATGTTGTTTTTGATTATATAAATACATCCAAACTATGAAAACTATGTCTTGACCCCTATATCTTTGAAGGAGAGAAATAGCATCTCAATCCCTTCTGCTTGCTAAGCTGATATTATTGATTATATAATGGTTTATGCTTTTTTTTTTTTTTTTGAGACAGTTTCGCTGATCTCCTGACCTTGTGATCTGCCTACCTCGGCCTCCCAAATTGCTGAGATTACAGTTTATGCTTTTTAAGCAACAGTCTCACCCATTTATAAGAATTTCTTCAGCCTTGTCTCTTTTTTTGTTTTGTTTTTGTTTTTGAGACAGAGTTTTACTCTTGTTGCCCAGGCTGGAGTGTAATGATGTGATCTCAGCTCAACGCAACCTCCGCCTTCCAGGTTCAAGCAATTCTCCTGCCTCAGCCTCCCGAGTAGTTGGGATTACAAGCATGCGCCACCATGCCCAGCTAATTTTGTGTTTTTAGTAGAGATGGGTTTTCTCCACATTGGTCAGGCTGGTCTCGAACTCCCAACCTCAGGTGATCCACCAGCCTCAGCCTCCCAAAGTGCTGGGGTTACAGGCGTGAGCCATTGCGCCTGGCCCAGCCTTGCCTCTTAAAAGTAATTTCTCTTCCACAAAAAAGTATCCTCGGCCAGGCGCGGTGGCTCACCTCTGTAATCCCAGCATTTTGGGAGGCCGAGGCGGGCGAATCACCTGAGGTCGGGAGTTCAAGACCAGCCTGACCAACATGGAGAAACCCCATCTCTACTAAAAAAAAAAAAAATACAAAATTAGCCAGGCGTGGTGGCGCATGCTTGTAATCCCAGCTACTCAGGAGGCTGAGGCAGGAGAATCTCTTGAAGCAGGGAGGTGGAGGTTGCAGTGAGCCAAGATCGCGCCATTGCACCCCAGCCTGGGCAACAAGAGCAAAACTCCATCTCAAAAAAAAAAAAAAAAGTATCCTCTAACAGAAAATTCATCAGTATTTTAAAAATTCTTTTAAATAGTGCCATAAAATTACTAAGCTTTCCTCATGTTTTTGCCTAAGAATATATCTATTCCTAAACCCCTTCCTGGAGCTTCTGCACTAATGCTAGTGCAGAGACAGCAACACTGCCACTCTAAAGAGAGAAATTCTCGGCAGCTAACGTTTTGCATCATGTCACTGGAGATGATGACAGGTTGTAATTGTGAAAAATAATATGAAAATAAAAATTATAGCGACTACCACCTTTGAAACCCTGAGGTCCAAAAACTTACAGGGATCTATATTTTTGCCTACAAAGTCTTATTAATGTCACTTAGAATTTTAAAGAGTAATTATTATAATAATAAACTTATACCTGTATGTCCCCAGGTGCATTCATTTGATGGTACCAAGGAAGCAGCAGCTGCTTTGATTGACTTGGATCTTTATATAGGATTTAATGGTTGGTACGTTCTTAGGTTGCTTTGGTTTTTAACTTTTATTTAAGCAGATTTCTTAAATTGTCTTACAGTGAATTGCTGATGAAGATTTATTTTCATTAAAGTTTGTGTGTGTTTGCATTGATCTTTGCTGGGAATTTCAGTAATTATTTATTAAGAAATTAAACAGTACATTACTATTAAAAGTTAAAGCTCGAAAGTTATAGACTACTACATTATGTTCTAATAATGGAAAACAATTTTGTGTTGAGATCTGCAGCTGGCTTTCTCTGGTAATCCAATTTATTCTCAGGTCATTTGATCCCTTGAAAACATGTGTTCACAGCATTATGTATACATATACACGTCATATCTGACTATGGACGAACGGTTTATTCTGTGACAGTCATACATCTCTGCAGTCAAAGAAACCGAGGCTCAAAGAAATTAGGAAACAGGTATAGAGTTTCTCCAAGTATGAGAACCCATGTCCTCTGGCTTCTCACTCTGTGATCTTTCTGCTGTTGTACCACACTAAACTTCACACACTCAGTACAGTCAGCTAGCACAGCTAGGTCTCTGGGTTGGTTTTGTCACATATGTAAGAGCTTCTACCAGTGACTTTTCACAGGATGTCAGTGTAGCCTATTAAATCAGTTGCAAAATAGTATAGGAGTTTCTGTCCTTCTTCATTGTCTCATACCCTTAAAATTATTATGTTTCCAATTGCATTATTTTTGACTAAAATCTAGGGAAATAGAATCATGGAATTATGTATTTGCTCTAGAGTTCAGAGTTTAAATGTCTAAGATGCTTTCATATTTAAATTAATGGTTTAATTAACTTTAAAATTAATTAATATGCAAGGGAATATATGCATAGAGATTAAAAAGTCAAGTAGTACTAACAGATATGAACAAATATCAGAGTCCCCCCAGCATGACCTTACCCCAAGTCAGCTTTTGTAGCAGCAATAATTTTGCTATTTGTCACCATATTTCTAAATAATATCCATATACTATTGTCTCTTGATTCATCCCCTTTGTCTATTCTCATTGGGGTATATGAGCACATTAGTTCTTATATCCCGTACTAATCCCCTACCTCCATTCTCTGCATATCACTCTCAATGTCGTTATTTCAGAATTTTTGGTTATATGCATACTCAATGTTTTCATTATTATGTCTATATAAATGTTGTTTCCTTATTATGCCTATATAAATATATAATTTCACAGTGCTATGCCAAGTATGAGAGGGTTTCAAGTTTTTTGTTTTTTGGTTTCTTTTTAAAGATAGGGACTTGCTTGCTCTGTAGCCCAAGCTGGAATGCAGTGGCGTGATCACAACTCTGCAGCCTTGACCTCCCAGGCTCAAGCAACCCTCCCACCTCAGCCTCCTGAGTAGCTGGTATTACTGGTGCATGCCACCACACCTGGCTATTTTTTAAATTTTTAGTTGAGACAGGGTCTTGCTATGTGCCCAGGCTGGGCTTCAAGTTTAAGAAAGCCAAGTAAATAAAAATATGAGGGAGGTTAATCCAGGAAAACAAAAAGTAGTACAAGAAAAGAAATGTTAAGCACAGTATACCACATGAGCAAACCTATGTAGATAATCTAATAGTTCCGTCAGTTGCAGACCCTTCCATGTGTTTCAATTTGGACTAGTTCCTATTTTTAGATCCCATGTATTCCTTGCGTGTTTGTTTTAGTGGAACACATTCTATAACATCCTCTGAGGATGTTTTCATGGGAATTAAGTTTCTTTTAAATACAAGCCAGTATTTCTATTTAATAAGGTTTCCCATTTAGTGATGAGCAACTACACGATTCTGAAGTCAAGTTTGAAATACATCTTCCCATTTTGAAAATGAATTTTTTTTCTGCTCTTCCTCTTACAAGTTAGCCTGGATAGTTAATGAAAGGGGAGAGAACCCCACTTTTTTTTTTTTTTTTTTGAGAGGGACTCTCACTCAGTCGCCCAGGCTGGAGTGCAGTGGCGCGATCTTGGCTCACTGCAGGCTCCGCCTCCCGGGTTCACGCCATTCTCCTGCCTCAGCTTCCCGAGTAGCTGGGATTACAGGTGCCCGCCACTACACCTGGCTATTTTTTTTGTTTTTGTATTTTTAGTAGAGACAGGGATTCACTGTGTTAGCCGGGATGGTCTCGACCTCCTGACCTCGTGATCTGCCCGTCTCGGCCTCCCAAAGTGCTGGGATTACAGGTGTGAGCCACCACACCCAGCCCCCCACTTTCAATGGATAGTTCTCTTGAATAAAATTCAAGATCAGAAATCATTTTCATTGAGAATTTATACTGTCCCATCAGTAGGTTCCAGTGTTGATGAAAAGTTGCTACTCTGATTCCTAATCCTTTACCTGTGACCTAGTTTTCTTCTCTTGTGAAAGGTTTTAGTTTTTCATCTCTGATGTGAAATTTCACGAAGGTGTGTGTTGATGGTTTTCATCACGCCTGGTGTTGCTTTTTCATTAGCCCTTCCAGTGGGGGGCACATCTTTACCCGTCCTTGGAATTTGATTTTTCTCTTCTGTTCTTTTCTTGGGCATACTAGACTGATAACTCGTATTCTTTTTATTCTATTTCCATTGTTTCCCTCCTTCCAAAAAAAGTGCTATATTTTGTAACCCTTTTTATGAAATTTACTTCAACTTTTGTTTTCAATTTCTGAATACTCTATTTTTATACTGCAGTGTCTTCTCATCTCTCTAAAGACATGAATTATAGTTTAAAGTTACTTTCTGCTTGTCTTCCTGCATTTGTTTCCTCACAGTCACCTTTTCTTCTTTCCTTTGGTCTCTGTGATGATGGAAACTTTCTTCAAATGTCAGGCAGTCCTTCACTGTCTATTTAAAAAAAGAAAAAAAAAAGCCATTTGGAAGCTCTCTAGAAGGCATTCCAGCAACTGGCAGGCTCAGATGGCCAACTGACTTTTTGCTAGGGATTCCCAAATGTCAGTTTGTAGAGATCTTTTTCTGGGTTGGTTCAGTTTCTCCAGAAAGGGATCCTGTGTTCTCTGCTGGAAAAGTGGGGAACAGTGGAGGGAAGGGGTTTGTAAATGTCCCTGACAGTATTTTGGAGCAGGATGGGTTAGAGGATCTCACTGTTTAGTGGGCTGCCCCAGTCTCCATGCTCAGGCCTGTGCCTGACGCCTGTACTCCTCTGTGCTTGTTGTTCTCCAGCTGTTTCTGATGTGGATTGTCTTGAGACCCAGCACCTCTTTCTCTGCACCAAGTCACAGATACATAACCTAGGAACCCCATCTTCTCTTGGAGTTTTCTCAAAGAATCTCCATTTCAGTCCCTGCCTTACTCCACTTTCTAGGGACTGTATCTACTTCTAGGTTTGTTTGTCTTTCTTTCCAGGCACATAGCATTTAAGTTACTTGGCACTTAAACACTGGTCTTTTATCATTTCTCTGTCCACTTTCAGCTATATGTTGTGATTTGGGGTAACATATGTCTCCTAGTTTCATTTAAAAAAATCCTGGTTTTCTCCCTGTAAGTTTGGTTTTGTTTTTTTTTTTTTAAGAGAAGGGGGTAGAAGATCTTTATTTTACCAACTTAAAACCATAATTCTTAGTTGTTGTTTTTTTTTTTTGAGACAGGGTCTCACTCTGCCTCTCAGGCTGGACGACTTACTGTAGCCCCGACCTCCTGGGCTCAGGCGATCCTCCCAAGTATAATAGCTGAGACCACAAGCTCCTATCACCATGCTTGGCTAATGTCTGTACTTTTTGTAGAGATGGGGTTTCACCATGTTGCCCAGGCTGGTCTCAAACTTCTGAGCTCAAGCTATCCACCTGCCTCTGCCTCCCAGAGTGCTTGGATTACAGGCATGAGCCACCGTACCTGGCTCCTGTCTTAGATATTTCTAAATGATCTTGAGTTCATTAGGATGTTAGTTTAAGCTAATCACAAAAGATTCTTTTCTCCTACATTAATATTAGCTTCAGAATTAATAGGTTAGTCATTTATTAAAGTGGATGTTTATATTCTTATTTTCAAATCTAATTCATTATCATCTTAATCTGAGTCTCTGAGGAATGATAACTTAATCCACTTATAGTAGCATATTACATAAAGTCTTTGGTTCCTAAAAGTTAAATTAGAATTTTTCCCCCAAGAAAATGGGAAGATGGCCAGGCATTGTGGCTCACGCCTGTAATCCCAGCACTTTGGGAGGCTAAGGTGGGTGGTTCACAAGGTCAGGAGTTCAAGACCAGCCTGGCCAATATGGTGAAACCCCATCTCTACTAAAAATACAAAAATTAGCTGGGCATGGTGGTGGGCACCTGTAGTCCCAGCTACTCGGGAGGCTGAGGCAGGAGAATCGTTTGAACCCAGGAGGCGGAGGTTTCAGTGAGCCGAAATCATGCCACTGCACTCCAGCCTGGGCAACAGACCAGACTGTGTCTCAAAAAAAAAAAGAACATGGGGGCCGGGCGCAGTGACTCACACCTGTAATCCCAGCACTTTGGGAGGCTGAGGTGGGCGGATCACAATGTCAAGAGATCGAGACCATCCTGGCTGACAAAGTGAAACCCTGTCTCTACTAAAAATACAAAAAAATTAGCCGGGTGTGGTGGCGGGCGCCTGTAGTCCCAGCTACTCGGGAGGCTGAGGCAGGAGAATGGCGTGAACCCGGGAGGCGGAGCTTGCAGAGAGCCGAGATCACCCACTGAACTCCAGCCTGGGCGACAGAGTGAGACTCCATCTCAAAAAAAAAGAAAATGGGAAGATGTATTTCAAACTTGACTTCAGAATCGTGTAGTTGCTCATCACTAAATGGGAAGCCTTATTAAATAGAAATACTGGCTTGTATTTAAAATGTTTATTAGTATATATATTTGGGCAAATTTTACAGTCATAGAATAGACACAGAAGAATATTAAGTTAATCAGACATGATTTAGTGAGATCAAAAATACAAATAATCTGAAAATTTAGTGAAAAGTTCTAAATATACTATCCATACCAAGCACATCAATATATTTTAGAAAATAACTGTATTGACCAAGCTGGCTGAAAATAAGAATTTTGTTTTTCTAGAGAGCACTAATTGCTACTTAATGTCAAACTAATGACATCTCACCCACCCCTCCTAAAATCCTACTAAAATAAAATTATAGATACTGAAAAAGGAAAGAATCTGTAATAGCAAAGAAAAAGGGCCAGAGTTTTGCTAAGAAATGTTCTGTAGTTGGGTGAGCTCAGGAGTTCAAGTGATGGTCCTGCCACAGCATCCTCAGTAGCTAGAGCTATAGGCGTAACCAGTCTGGGCAACATAATGAGACCCCCATCTCTTAAATTAAAAAAAAAAAAAAAAAAAGAGGCCAGGCGCAGTGGCTCATGCCTGTAATCCTAGCACTTCAGGAGGCTGAGGCAGGCAGATGACGAGGTCAGGAGTTCGAGACCAGTCTGGCCAACATAGTGAAGCCCTGTCTCTACTAAAAATAAAAAAAATTAGCTGGGTGTGGTGGTGTGCGCCTGTAATCTCAGCTACTTGGGAGGCTGAGGCAGGAGAATTGTGTGAACCCGGGAGGCAGAGGATGCAGTGAGCCGAGATTGCACCATTGCACTCCAGCCCAGGTGATAGTGAGAGACTCCGTCTGTTCTGTAGATTTCTGAAGACAGGTGAAACTGAAAGAGAAAGCTTAGATTATACCACTAAGGGGCCTCAGAAGAGATGGGAGCAAGTCTAGCAAAATCCAATAGGGGGGCTTTGGGCCTAGAATTAGTGTGAAATCGGACTAGAAATGATGATTAATTGAGGGCCTATATAGAGAAAAGATCTCACTCCCATATCCACTCCTGTGCATAGAGGACAAAAGCAGTAAACATTTACACAGGGGCCGGGGGTGGGGGTTTTCTTAAGAAAATTGAAAAAACTGTATGGTGAGGACTAGGGCTTGGAGTGCTTACATCAATCCCCAAAGAAAAGCATTTAGAGAACCATGAGCCTAACAATTAGCTCCCTATACTCTTACCTTTAAATGAAGTTTCATAATATACCCACTCCCACAAGAAGGTCCCACTAAGAATCCCCACTAGGAGAAGAGAACTGGCAGTAAAACAGGCCTGCTTTCACAAAAGCAAAGGAAACGCAACACTAGCAACCTCCCAAAATATAAATGGATATCCAAGGACCACCAGACGAATGAGGTGAACCAGAAGCATGAAAGAAAAAAGGCCAAGATAAATAGAAAAACTAACCCCAGTGCGACCCAACATAGTGGGATTTGAGATGTTACAGACATGAAATATGAACAGAATGCTAAAAGAACATAAAAGAATAAGAGCTCCTTAAAGATTATAAATAAATGGTGATGTTAAAGTAATAGCACCATTGGACGAAGCTAGGGAATCAACACTTGACAGAAAGATACATATTTTTTTTATACAAACTACATATATTTGAGCAATCAAGTAGTAGACATAGAGAATTTTCTTTTTATGGAAGTACTCTAATAAGTAAAGGGCTGATAGAATTATATCAGCATTTTCTAGCTCCTGGTGAATTATGCATTGGGCATCCATGGCTGCCTTAGATCACAAAAATACCACCAGATATATGCCTGTGGATGAAAGATCACACCACCACCTGTGAAATAGTCTTCCCCACAAAAAATCCAACCCAAATCCTATCCAGCCTGTAGATGGTACTCGAGATCTTCTATAAGAAATAAAGAGAGCAGGCTGGTCACGGTGGATTGTGCCTGTAATCCCAGCACTTTGGGAGGCCAAGGCAGGTGGATCGCCTGAGGTAAGAAGTTCGAGACCAGCCTGGCCAACATGGTGAAACCCCCCTCTCTACTAAAAATACAAAAATGAGCCGGGCGTGGTGGCAGGCACCTGTAGTCCCAGCTACTTGGGAGGCTGAGGCAGGAGAATCGCTTGAACCTGGGAGGTGGATGTTGCAGCTCGCCGGGATTTTGCCAACGCACTCCAGCCTGGGCAACAGAGTGAGACTCCATCTCAAAAAAAAAAAAAAAGAAGAAGAAAGAAGGAAATACAGAGGGCAGAGGAACCTGTTAAACTGCAACGCAGATGAAATCAGCAAAATCAAGACTAGGGCACTCCACAGCGTGAACAGCTTGGTTTCTTCAACAGATAAATTTGAAGGGGGAAAAGATGCAGGAGATTTTAATAAGTTGAGACTTCAGAAGACAATGACCAATTGCAATGTGTGGGCCTCTCATTTGTGTCCTAATTTAATCAAACTTAGAATGTATGCCACTGAGACAACTGGAAATTTGAATACTAGAAGATTTGGGTTTTTCTTAAACAAGAATCCTTATGCTCAGAGATACATGTTGAAACATCCTGAATTAAATGCTGAAATAAATATTAAAACTGTCCATCTGGAATTTCCTTTTAAGATAATACAGGAGAGGAATAGGGGTAAGTGGATGGAACTGGATTGGCCATGTGTTGATTGATGGGGCTGGGTGATAACTATATGAGAGGTCCATATTACCTAATTTAATGTGTATCTTAAATTCTTTGTAATAACAAATGCTGAAATTAAAAATGCTACATAAGGAAGCAACCAAGATGTTCCTCAGTAGGTGAATGGATAAACTGTGGTATGTCCAGTGGAATATTATTCAGTGCCAAAAGAAATGAACTATCAAGCATGAAAAACATGGGATTTTAATGTGTATTTGCAAGTGAAAGAAGGCAGCCTGAAAAAGACTACATACTGTGTAATTCAAACTATGTGACAGTCTGGAAAAGGCAAAACTATGGAGACTGTCAAAAGATAAGGGGTTAGAGGGAAGGAGGGATGAATAGGCGGACCATAGATTTTTAAGACCGTGAAACTATTCAGTATGATACCACAATGGTAGATACGTGTCATTGCATATTTGTCCAGACCCACAGAACACATGAAACCAAGTGAACCCTGATGTAAACTGTGGGTTTTGGGTGACAGTTTTGTGTCAAGGTAGGTTCATCAATGATAAACGTACCTACCACTATGGTGTAGAATTTTGAGAGTGGGAGCATATGGTTGGGGAATCTCTGTACTTTTTATTGCTGTAAACCTAAAACTGCTCTAAAAAGTAATTTAAAATAAATTTGTGATTAGAGAAATTGTGTTTTTAAAGTAATATAAGAACAGTATTAGTTGTCATCACATTATATGCTACACCATCCCAAACCTCACTGCCACATTACAGGAAGCATTTATGTTTGCATTCATGGATCTTTGAGTCAGCTGGGTTTTGGCTGATAGAGGCTGCCACAGGCAGCCATAGCAAGTCTTGAGGCCAACGCCAGATTCAAGGAATAGAGTTCATCCTACAAAGAAACCATGGCAAGGGTGCAGATACATAATTCTGCTAAAGTAGAGTGAAGAATCTGTCTTGGGCTAAAAATGGAAAATTCAGGAAATGAACGTTTACAGCCTTAGAAGCACCTCTAAGTTACGCAAATTACTCAGAAGCAGATGAATTCTTTTAAAAAGTTAAATTTTACTTAGACTGATATAGAACGCTATTGGAAACCAACTAATAAGCATGGAAAATTGCATCCCCGGAAGGCAGATTGGGTTAAAATAGATGTTAATCTGGATTGTTGAAGTATGGAGGTGTGCAAATACTTTCCAAAGTATACTGAAAACAAAGTGTTATAGGGTTTTGGGTTGGTTTTGTAGCATTTTAGACAAGTTGTGATACGAAAAAAGGTATTCGTTAATTGCTGCCTTTTAAAATAAATATACACTTTTTTTTAAGCTCACTGAAAACTGAAGCTAATTTGGAAGTTTTGAAGTCAATTCCTAGTGAAAAATTAATGATTGAGACAGGTAAGTTTGTTTTCAGAACTTTGTTTCATATTAAACCATACCAAACAAAAAGGAAAGCTGGAGAAAGAAATTTGACTTCAAACTTTAAGTGAACAAGTATTTTAAAACAGCATGCTCAACCTCAACAATTATGTTTTCCAGAAGATCTTTGGGGGTTATTAATGGAAAAACATATGCAAATGATTTTTTTCAATTTAGAAGTTTGCTATGTCTAAGCACTTAGAAAATGAGATGCCAGAATATAACTCAGGAGGTTGTAGTTACGAGTACTTAGCTAAACAAGGGGTCTTGACTAAGCACATCACACTTCCAAGTTTCAAAATCTGTTCAGAATTTTGTTTACACAGTGTCTTTATAATGGCTTAATTCTACAGCACTTTGTACAGTGCAACAATTTATATTGGTTTAGTATAAGAATTTTAGAATCCGTTGCCTCTTAAAACAAGGTGAGGCCGGGCGCGGTGGCTCACGCCTGTATTCCCAGCACTTTGGGAGGCCGAGGTGGGCGGATCACCTGAGGTCAGAAGTTCAAGACCAACCTGACCAACATGGAGAAACCACATCTCTACTAAAAATACAAAGTTATCTGGGCATGGTGGCACATGCCTGTAATCCTAGCTACTTAGGAGGCTGTGGCAGGAGAATTGCTTGAACCCAGGAGGCAGAGGTTGCTGTGAGCCAAGATCACGCCATTGCACTCCAGCCTGGGCAACAAGGGCGAAACTCAGTCTCAAAAAAAAAAAAAAAATACAAAAAATTAGCTGGGTGTGGTGGTGGCACTTGCCTGTAGTCCCAGCTACTCAGGAGCCTGAGGCACGAGAATTGTTTGAACCCGGGAGGCAGAGGTTGCAGTGAGCCGAGATTGTGCTACTGTACTCCAGCCTTGGAGACAGAGTGAGACTCCGTCTCAAAAAAATAATAAGGTGAAAAGCTAAAACTTTTATCTAAACCCTGTCAAGGCTCTCCTTATACCATGGACTTTAGGAAAGTCAAGACTGAGCCATTCTGGAGAAATCACATTCATTTCCTTGGGCAGTCAGGAAAACAAAATATTTGATTAAAAGTACGATGTTTGCAAAATGTGTAATTCTTTATTAAAAAATATTCAAAACCAGTTTCACATTCAGTAGAGATAGAAATTTGTTTAACTTATGCAAACCTCACTACATGCATAGCGAAAAAGATTTTGAAAACTGAAAAAAAAACTGTTTAACTTAAATGTTTTCATGTTGTTATACAATTGTATTTAAGGTTTAGGTCTTTTTTTTAAAGCATGCTGCACACCAACAATGTTAGCAGAAAAAAGGAATAGAAGTGAGTCTTAGAAGGTATTTAAGATGCAATTCAAGATTTTATCTTGTGCTTTTCTTAGAACTGTTTTCTGTTGAAATAACTGTGCCATTTTGGAAGCTGAATCACGGTTTATCATTTAGAGGTTATATATTAGATAATGGTCATAAAAAATTTTTAAAAATGTAAACCCCTTACGAGACACTTTCTTTGCTTAACTAGATGCACCTTGGTGTGGAGTCAAAAGTACACATGCTGGATCAAAATATATAAGAACTGCATTTCCTACCAAAAAGAAGTGGGAAAGTGGGCACTGCTTAAAAGACAGAAATGAACCCTGCCATATAATGTGAGTATTTTGCTTTCATGGTCTTCAAAATCATTAGTTAACCACCAGATGCCACTTATAAAATTAACGCAAGGGACAGAATTAAAATTTTGCAAAATCCAAGTGAAGTTCAGGTTCAAGACCACCATATTAATGCAGTGATTTGGAGGAATTTGCATACCTGGTTTAAGTTCCATTCTCACTGCAGCTTCCTGCTACTCTTTGGTAACAAGAAAGCCTTAGCAGAATATTTTGGATTTAAATGATTTGACAGCCTCTATAAATCTAAGAAATAACACATTTCTTTAAGCCTCAGAACAAAAGGATAAGTGATCTTAAGGACAAACCCCTTTTTTCCTACCCCCTTTTTCCAATCAAAGGGGGTGGGACTTTAGCACGTTTTATTTCCTAAAAAAGCAGCAGATCAGAATCATCTTTTAAATGGTGATATATATATAGCACAAGTGAAAAGAGGGGCTATTACCCATCTGTCAAAGAGCTGTAAAGGTAACAAACAGGAGAAGGTGGTTATATCATTTTAATGGGTACATAATCCAATTTCTTTTGTTTGCACAAACAGATAATTTAAATTAATCTAGATTATATCAGTCTTATATGATTTACCAATTCAGACAATTGGGCATACTTATAACACATTCACAAAAACTAATTGGTACTGTGTCTTCATGAGGGGTAAAAAAGAAAACAAAATAGGTTGTTGCTTTTAAGACTATTCATTGCATATGCACCATCTTTTTTTTCAGTAGTTTTTAACAGGAAAAGAGTATTAGAAGATAAGCCAGATAAGAACAGTGAAGAATTATTCTATAAAAATATGTTTGAAAGGTTCTTTTCCTTTATTAACATGCTTGAGCTGACAAAGTCTTTAAAACTGAAGCAGCCAGGCATGGTGGCCTGCGCCTGTATTCCAGCTACTTGGGAAGACTGCTTGAGCTCAGGAGTTCAAGATCAGCTCAGGCAACATAGGGAGACCCCTGTCTCTAAAGAAATAAAGAAAATTTTAAAAAATAAAGAAATGTAAGTACTTGCAAATTCAGTGATGAGACAGTATTTCTAAATCTTTTTTTTTTTTTTTTTTTTTGAGACCATCTTGCTCTGTTGCCCAGGCTGGAGTGCAGTGGAGTGATCTTGGCTCACTGCAATCTCCGCCTCCTGGGTTCAAGCAATTCTCCTGCCTCAGCCTCCCAAGTAGCTGGAACTATAGGCACATGCCACCACACTCAGTTAATTTTTGTATTTTTAGTAGAGATGGGGTTTTGCCATGTTGGCCAGGCTGGTCTCAAACTCCTGACCTCAGCCTCCCAAAGTGCTAGGATTACAGGCGTGAGCTACCACACCCAGCCAATTTTTTGGGGAACTAAAAGGACACTAGAGAAAAGAAACTGGTATTTTGACAGCAGCCAGCTTACAGGAAGTAGTTGCCAACAGTGTATCCAAGTAAGTTTTTTATATTTCCTTAATCTTATGTAAGATTATAGCTGTTGACTTTAGCTATATATTTGCAAGACAAAATTTCAAGGTGTTTTTAAATGTAGACTGTTTAAGAACTATAAAGGCTGGCCAGGCATGGTGGCTCACATCTGTAATCCCAGCACTTTGGGAGGCCAAGGCAGGCGGATCACCTGAGGTCAGGTGCTCGAGACCAGCCTGGCCAACATGGTGAAATCCTGTCTCTACTAAAAATACAAAAATTAGCCAGGCGTCATGGCGGATGCCCGTAATGCCAGCTACTCAGGAGGCTGAGGCAGGAGAATCGCTTGAACCTGGGAGGCGGAGGTTGCAGTGAGCAGAGACCACACCATTGCACTCTAGCCTGGAAGACAAAAGTGAAAATACATCTCAAAAAAAAAAAAAAAAGAACTGTGAAGGCTTCATCAATACTTGTTCTTCAGTTAGTTGCAGAGCTTAGGAAAATCTAGCATCTGCAAGCTGAAAAGATTTAAACCACATTTAAAAAATACACAATCCTCTAATCTACTGCTAATTATGAGTTGGCAAGTTAATTGCTACTTGCAAAGTCATTTTCTCAACCTCCATTCTGTTAACAGTTTTACATTCTAATTATTTTTATAGAGGTCTTTTAGATATACATTGTTTGCAACAGATGTTTTGGAGCCCCTGCCATGTCAGGAAAGGTACAAGTTACTAAGGCTACACAGGAAGAACCAAGACAGTCCCTGTCTTTATCCATCCACCAGATGAATAGGTACACTGTGCCTGGCACTTTAGATAAGGCATTCAGTGAGTCAGGCGAGGACCCCTGCCCTCCTGGAGCACATAAGCAGACAGAGTCCAAGATAGTAGTGCTGTTATACAAGTAGGAATCTATGACCAGGACCATAGGGCACATCAACTGTCTGCTTTGAGGGGAAACAGGAGAGAGTTATACCAAGGTGACATTTCAGTTGTTTACCCATGACTGGGAGTTAGGCCAGAGAAAGACAAACAAACACCTTAAGCAAAGGCAGACTGCAGAAGGGCCTGGCTAATCCAGAGGAACAAGTGTGGCAGAAAGTAGGATGCACAGTGTAAGCAGAAGTCAAGTCTGGGAAGGTAGAGTGAGCCCAGATTGTGAGGGCTCTTATATGCCAGCATTTTGCTTAGATTTTATCACTACCCAAAGGATTTTAAGCAGGAGAGTGGCAATTATTTTTTTTAAAGCTATAACTTGTATCAGTATGGGGAAGGGCTGGAAAGGAGATAGGGTAGGAATCATGTAGATCTTGCAAGACTTTAAAAACCTTTGCCTGGCTGGGCACAGTGGCTCACACCTGTAATCCTACCATTTTGGGAGGCCGAGGCAGGCAGATCAGTTGAGGTCAGGAGTTCAAAACCAGCCTGGCCAACGTGGAGAAACCCTGTCTCTACTAAAAATACAAAAAAATAGCCGGGCATGGTGGTGGGCGCCTGTAATCCCAGCTACTTGGGAGGCTGAGGCAGGAGAATCACTTGAATCTGAGAGGCAGAGGTTGTAGTGAGCCAAGATCACACCACTGTGTGATCACACACAGTGAGCCAAGATCACACCACTGCACTCCAGCTTGGGCCACAGTGTAAGACTCTCTCAAAAAAAAAAAACAAAAACCTGTGCTTACTGTAAAAGTGCCACATTAAACAAAAGCCACTAAATTCTCAGGGACATTAAACAACTTTATATTCATTTTGGAATAACTGCAGCTTTGACCACTGAAGATGTATGGAAATAGCATGGCTTGGCTACAGAAGGGTTATTCGAAGAAAGATTTCCATAAACTGCATTATCAAACAGTAAAATAGGATGTCCTAAGCTCCAATAGATTTTTTTTTCTTTTTTCTTTTTTTTGGAGAGAGAGTCTCGCTCTGTTGCCCAGGCTGGAGCGCAGTGGCACAATCTCAGCTCACTGCAACCTCCACCTCCCAGGTTCAAGCAATTCTCCTGCCTCAGCCTCCCGAGTAGCTGGGACTACAGGCGTCCACCACCATGCCTGGCTAATTTTTTTTGTTTTACTAGAAATAGGGTTTCACCATATTGCCCACACTGGTCTCGAACTCTTGAGTTCAATCTGCCTGCCTCAGCCTCCCAAAGTGCTGTGATTACAGGCATGAGCCACTGGGCCCAGCCCAATAGATTTCTTATAAGCGATTTCAATAAAATGAATTTGCTATGCAATATAATCTTAGCAAAGCTGCTGTGACCTTCAAAACTGTGTCATCAGCAGCATTAATCAAGAGTTCCAATTCTGAGAAGTGCATACAGAGGGACATTCAGTAGTTTCCTAAGAAAAATGGATTTTCACTGTCTTAATTTAAATGTTAATAGATTTGCTTTTAGTGTATCTTGACTGTCAGATAAAATTTTAGTGTAGTGTTTGCTTAGTATAAACATCAAGCAAGGCTTTTGTGTCACATTACAAAACAATTTTTTAAATTCCCATTAATCTTAGATCTCCATCCTTAATTCCTTTAGGTGTTAACATTTAAGATACTAAGGGAACAAAAAGCTTAGGCAAAGAATATTTAAATGTTCAATTTGGACTTTGGAACTTTCTAATTCATGTATTAAAAATCTTCCACTTATATATAATAAGTATGGAGACACTACGGATCATCATTACTGTAAGCACAGAAACTGAAAGATGCGGCCAGGCGCGGTGGCTCACACCTGTAATCCCAGCACTTTGGGAGGCCCAGGTGGGGTGGATCACAAGGTCAGGAGTTCAAGACCACGGCCAGCCAACATAGTGAAACCCCGTCTCTACTAAAAATACAAAAATTAGCTGGGTGTGATGGCAGGTGCCTGTAATCCCAGCTACTCAGGAGGCTGAGGCAGGAGAATCACTTGAACCCAGGCGGCAGAGGTTGCAGTGAGCCGAGATCGTGCCACTGCACTCCAGCCTGAGCAACAGAGTAAGACGCCGTCTCAAAAAAGAAAGAAAAAAGAAAAAAAAAAGAAAGGAAAGAAAAAGAAAGGAAAGGAAGGGAGGGAAGGGAAGGAAGAGAGAGACAGAGAAAGAAAGAAACTGAAGGATGGACACCTGGGCTTATTTCTCTCGCAAGGGTAGAGGTACAGAAAGCCCTCGCCCTCAATAACCACACATTTTTCCAAGTAAATATTACTTTTGCAGCAACCTAATACCTTCATTTGCTGTCTCTCAAGGACTAGTTCTCTAGCAGTAGATTTCCAACTGTGGCTGCTGTCCCACAGTACAAATTACGTTGTGACTTAGGACACACATACATAATAAAACCTAACAAAAAATGGAACAGTACTTACCCTTATTGAGTACAATGTACTTGTCAATGTTTAAAATGCTCATCATGACCCACTAATGAACATGCTATGACTCACAATTGAAAAGGACTCTTCATTTCCACTCAGTTAATGCTATAATTGGTGAACATAATACAGATGGCTGCTTTAATAATTTACTTGAACCTGGTTCTTAGCTCTAGTTATATGCAAGACAGTCCATAAATCTGTTTCCAGTTACTGGCAGTAAGTTTTTCTATTGATATTGCTGAAAAACTTAATAACTGTTAAGCTTTATTATATTAAAGGTGTGCCAATATTTTCCTTTGTGTGGAAAAATATTATATAGCTTTAGAACTAAATGTATACTTGGAGATTTAACCATTTTTGTTTTTGTTTTGTTTTAGTCAAATATTGGAGATAATGTCAGCAGTGAGAGATGAGGATCCACTGGAATTAGCCAATACACTATATAACAATACTATTAAAGTATTTTTTCCTGGAATATAATTGGTATATGTCTTCCACTTTCCATCATGTATGTAAAATTTCATAGTAAAACTTCCTGATAGTTTCAATAAAGAAATTATCTGCAAGTTGTCTAAAGAAATACTATATATCGGTACACACCATTCCCCACCATTCCCCTTCTTTTTCTCGTAAAATCAGATCAGGATGTTTTTATATCATTGAGTATCTTAGTTTAAAACAATTTAAAAAAAACTATTTTTGTTTTGTAATATCTTCAAAAGAATGAAAGGACAATTTTATGACAATACTGCAGACACAGAATGGCTAACAAATATACAATTTTACATAAAAAACATTTAGCACATTCTGGTTTATATCAAAGTTTAGTTGATACAGTTTATTTGTCAACCCTCAGTCTCTCTCTGAATCAGGACTTTCAAACTCAGCTCAATTACACTGCTACTCAAGTTTCAAAAAAGGTCCTCAGTTGCTTCTGGCAGCTAATTTTTTCTTTAGTTTTAAAATACTCTCTCATGTCCTTTATCCTCTGGTCAAATTATTTTATTTCCTTGACTTTAATGTGGTTTCCTGATTTGCATTTTCATTCTCCCACCCATTTCTAAAGAAAAACTGAGGTCCAAAGTTACATTATATAATTTCATTGAAGAATATTTGGCACAGGTGACGCACCATATGATCATTACATCTATTAAAAAGCTATTTGTTCAAATTTTGTCATAAAAATGTGAAAACATTTTATTCTATGTACAATAATGTACACAAATTTAAACAGGTCACCAAAGAGACCAGAAGTAATTAAAGAGGTATATTTACAGTAGCACATCACAGTAAACGGAAAACCATTCACAGATTCAACATTGATACTGTTTTTGTGCTTGGTTACACACTGAAGGTGAAGGATATTACTCCATTTTGGATGAACTGAATTTTAAACAAATACCTCAATCATTAATAAATGCTATTTTCATCAGTCAGTATCATCATTAAATTCTTCAGCTGCTGCGCCTGTGTGCTGAATCACTCCATTTCTTTCTCTTTGAACATCATCATCACAATCTGTACTGTCATCTTCGTTCAATTCCCTGTCAGATTCAGCAGCAGCTTCTCTTACAGCTTCCTCTGGAGTTTCATTGGGTGGAATAAATCCATTGTTGTTAGATACATTTGAATTATCCTTGATATCATCTTCGATGTATACTTTCTGATGGCACATTGGACAAGTATCTTGAATGTACAGCCATTTCCGAAGGCAAAGTGCATGGAAATAATGATTACACGGTGTAATACGAGCAGATGTTGTAAACTCATGATAGCAGATTGCACATACATCATTTATTTCTTGTAAGCGGCTCCCTTTTATTTCAGGAAGTGAATTAATTTTCTTCACAGCAGTCCTACGATTCATAAATGTCTTCCAGCCATTTTTGGCTTGTAAGTAGATGTTAAAATATGCATGTAGGCACATCATAAAAGCCCGAATTTTACTTCCCGACTCAAACATCATAGTGTAAGCCCCATTTCCAAACATTACAACTCCAAATATAAATTCAATAATACTGCCTGTTGAACGAACGTAGTAGACATAATCGTCAAGCTTTTCCCAGAGGACATTATAGTAGCCATCAATCATGAATAACGTATAAACAGTGAGAGAAACAATTACTTTTAAGCACAGTTCCACACAAAATGCTGTAACTGCAAACAACCATGTATTTAGTGCATAGTGATGCCAAAGAACATAACTGAGTAAGACAGGAAGAATAAACAGGCAAGCAGAGACAAACAGCACAGGAAAATGTCTACGAAAAGATGACACATGAGAGGCACTGAGAGACATTAATACAGGGTCTGTCATTCCATGGATAAAATGCAGGACTGCAGTTAATAAAAGGCACATGTTTCTACTTAAGCGAATAAGTCTCTCTTCTGGTCTTAGCCCACTTAACCCAGTCTGAAGAGCCAAAATAAAAAATAAAACAGGTGCAACAAAGCCAAGACGCCTGTCATCTTCCTCAGTTGATCCAATAAAGGCCAATATTCCAAGCCCCAAATAATGGGCTACTGAGGAAATTACAGCACTCATGCCCAGTACAGTTAGTGTAGAATCGCACCCACTAATTATAAGATTGCAAATGAGGTCCCAAAAATCATCCCAAGAAATAAAGAAGGAATCAGTTTCATTTGCCATCCTTAAGATGTACATTAACACTGTAGCCTGAGCTGTAACTCTTGTTAGCCAAAAGACTCGTAGTATGTCTGGGAAACGAATCCTCTTCCATGTGTCCTCCATCAATAACTGTAATCCGTAAATTCGATACATGTGCCTCACCAAAAGATAAACATATCGTGTGGAATAATAAAACCACTTCAGTTTCACTGCCAGGACAAACACTGTATTTAATGTGAGAATCAAGGAAGAAGTAAACAGTAAAGTCTCTCTGATGTGTAATGGTAGCTCTGTGATTAAGCCTATTACAGGAACCAAGAGATCCAAAATAATTAATTGTGAATAGATGGAATGAATCTGGAGTAGTGTAACGTATCCAATTCCAAATGTTAGCTGTAGAACGATAAGTGCCATCCACAGCGAGGGACCTTTTCGAGGAAGCAGCTCAATTCCAAAAGCTGACGTGTTGTAGGCACCATAGAAGTCAATGTGCAAAGAAGCATAATAATTCACCAACACTGAAGTTGCAGCTAACAGAAAGGCTGAGCTGTACGTGTAAAACTTGAAAAGTGATCGTTGTGACAAGATCAGAACAATACTGGATGCAAATACACCTAAAAGAAAGAAAGAAAAAGTCATTTGAATGAAGTATTTGTAAGAATGTTTCCCCACTAAGAGTTATGATATTCTTCCTTTAATTAGGAAATATGAATATTTTCAGTTATGAACATTAAGCCTCAAGACAACTAAGGCTTAAAGGGTAATAAAGGTTTTGTAAAGTCAGAGTTCAGGAGAACAGACCAAACATACTAAATTATTCTTTAAAATTTCATTCCTTACTTTCTAATTTCCAAAGTATTTCAAGTAACACTGTAGCTGTCCAAGGCACCAAATTACTAAATTATTTTCAAGATGAATTTGTAGTGGTACATACATTTTAACAAGTTTTAAAACTCAAAAGAATATGTCTTTTATCATTTCATAATCATTAAAATTAATTTTAAAAATTGGGTTAAAAATAACCCAAATGGAAAACATTTATTCCTATTAAGTTTTAGATTCATTTATTATTGACTGACTGAGACAAGAGTCTCACTCTGTTGCCCAGGATGGAGTGCACTGGTGCAATCTCAGCTCACTGCAAATTCTGCCTCCCAGGCTCAAGCAATTCTCCTGCCCCAGCCTCCCAAGTAACTGGGATTACAGGCACCTGCCACCATGCCCAGCTAATTTTTGTATTTTTAGTAGAGACGGGGTTTCACCATGTTGGCCAGACTGGTCTCTAACTCCTGACGTCAAGTGATCCGCCCGCCTTGCCTCCCAAAGTGCTGGGATTACAGGCGTGAGCCACCGCACCCAGCCAAGTTTTAGATTTTTTTTTAAAGGATTCTTTAGGAAATCAAGTTCAAGTTTTATACTTCCACTTAATTCCTCCTTTTCTTCAAACTGTGAACTCATGCCAGCTCTTATTTCCTACTCCTTAACTCTGAGCATTCTCCAAAGGGTCCAAAATTCCATTTTTTTTCCTCCTAGTTTCCTTCGGACTTAGAAACATCTTCCAAGTTCCCTTTTTCCTGTATAATGCTGAATCTGTTTCTTAAAATAGTCAACTCTTTTTATTGTTCTTCACATTACAAAAGTAACACTCAGAAAACCAAGACATGTTTTTAGAAAATGGTAATTCTCCTTCCCCCACTCCATAGACACCATCTTTCTTTGTACTCTGACAGAAATGCATATTTTAAGTAGGATTACAATAAACACATTATTATCCAAGGTTTCAACAATGGGAATGACATCTGAATACTCACCTACTTTCACTCCTACAACTGCAAATCTCCAAAGTTCTGAAACTCGACTTGCCTTAAACTAGAATCAGCTTTTCCTTGTGATTTGCTATTTCAGTTGAAGGTACCATTATTGTTCTTTTAGAGATACTCCCAACCCAGCCCCACATGCTCAAACTTTGCCAATTAGTTGCCAAATTCTTCTAACACCTCTATCTCCCTTTTCTGTGACACCAATCAATCAGTCTGTCTCAAAAAACCCTCATCTTGTCCAAATCCATTTACAAGCCATCACCAAATTGCCTTTCTTCATTCCCTGCTCAAAATACTTCAGCGGCTCTGAAATTACTATCAACTAAAATCTACATTCTTGCTCCTGGCATTCAAGAACCCAATTTGCTTTACAGTAATATTCCTCCTAACACACACACATCAGTGCTCCAGACTTGGATTCCCCAAACACATTCCTTTCTCCACTATAGCTACAGCAGTGTTTACATTCTTTTTGCTTGGAATGATGTCCCCAACCTCCCAATCCCTGACTATTCAAATCCTACCTATCCTAGAAACCTACTTTCTTTGATAGAAACTGTTCTTTCAGCATACCTGCAGAACTTAGTGAAACATTTAACACTCATATATCACCTGATATTGTAGTCTGCAGTTATCTAAGTATAATCTACCCTATTACACATGTATCTATAACAGAAAGCAAAGATCCTACCCTGTCCATCTATGGATTCTACAATATTTTGTACAAAATAAGTACAATTAGTATTCATTAGGAAATGTCTGTCACATCTGGATGTTTTTAAAGGCAACCACAAAATATAGCCTGCTTGAAAAATAAAATCTATGTTTCAGACAATGAGAAACCATACCCTGGAGTACAGAAAAAGTGACAAACTCCAAATTAAAAATCCATCTTGGCTGGGTGTGGTGGCTCACAATGGTAATCCCAGCACTTTGGGAGGCTGAGGCGGGTGGATCACTTGAGGCCAGGAGTTCAAGACCATGTCAACATGGTGAAACCCTGTCTCTACCAAAAATATAAAAATATGCCAGGGTGGTAGCACGTGCCTGTACTCCCAGCTACTCAGGGGGTTGAGGTGGGAGAATCGCTTGAACCCGGGAGGCATTGCAGTTAGCTGAGATCGCACCACTGCATGCCAGCCTGGGTGACAGTGAGACCCTGTCTCAAAATACATAAATAAATAAATATTAAATAAAATAAAAATCCATCTATCCACCTTATTTCAGCAGGTAATCAAGACATTGCATATTATTACAGTAGACGCATTTCACAATCCACTGCACATATAAGCAAGGGCTAGTTCATTTAAGTGATGACTCTGTCCAGGGATTTAAAATGTATTCTGTGCCAAAATGTCAAGTCATCTGTGAAAAGGAAAACAAAAGGACACAATAAAGTAGAAGACATATAAACCTCTAAATACAAACCACCTGATTCCCCAAGAAAATGGGCCACTAATAATCCCCCAAAGAGTTGTGAGCTCAGAACAGGCTCTTTTAAATATATATATAAATATATATATATATTTAAAAATATATATATAAATATATATATTTAAAAATATATATATAAATATATATATATAAAAATATATATATAAATATATATATATTTAAAAATATATATATTAAAAATATATATATTTAAATATATATATCTTTAAATATGTATATTTAAATTATATAATTTAAATATATATTAATATACATATTTTAATATATATAATTTAATATATATCTTTAAATATATATTAATATATATTTAAAGATATATATTAAATTATATATATTAAAATATGTATATTAATATATATTTAAATTATATAATTTAAATATACATATTTAAAGATATATATATTTAAATATATATATTTTTAATATATATATTTTTAAATATATATATATTTAAATAATATATATATATTTTTAATAGATATATTTTTAAATATATATATATTTAAATATATATATATATTTTTAATATATATATTTTTAAATATATATATATTTAAATAATATATATATATTATATATATATATATTTTTTTTTATATTTTTTTTAATGGAGTTTCGCTCCTGTTGCCCAGGCTGGAGTGCAATGGCGTGATCTTGGCTCACTGCAACCTCTGCCTCCCAGGTTCAAGCGATTCTTCTGCTTCAGCCTCCCAAGAAGCTGGGATTACAGGTATGTACCACCACTCCCAGCTAATTTTGCATTTTCAGTAGAGACAGGGTTTTTCCACGTTGGTCAGGCTGGTCTCAAACTCCTGACCTCAGGTGATCCACCCGCTTCGGCCTCCCAAACTACTGCGATTATAGGCGTGAGCCACTGCGCTCGGCCCTGAAAAGATTTTTTTATTAGAAACTTCTTCCATGGAAGGTAACAAGAAAATGGAATTAATTCAGCCTACCAGATGCCATATGTAATCTTACATTCTCTACATGGAAAACCACCTTATTTTCCTGAGACAAAACTTCAGAAACTTTAAAACAAATCTTCTAAGTTGGGTCAAAACCAAAACAAAATAACTCTAGTTCTACTTTATGCCACTTAGAGGGGAGAAAGTCAAGCAGGAACTGTAAATTATTTTTGTCAACTTGCTATTCACAAAGTAGTAAATTAATCTTCAGTAACTATTCATGAGCTTTGCCATAATTTTATAACTAATTTTTAAAATTCTAATAACTTTTTTCCTGAAGCTTGTTTTTACTACACACAAATGAAGAAATTATTTGGGTTTTAGAAACATTTCTAGTGAAAAAGTGCCATTTTGCTTTATGCAAATGTATCAAAGAAAAAAAGGGGAAGGCATCAGATAGACAAATAATGTAGTAAGACTACAACCTCAAAATTTGGATGTATCCCAGCAAGTAACAATCTGACAATACTCTATCCTGATTAAAATCACACCCCCCAAGATGTAATAGTGAGTTAACATTTCAAGAATAGTATATGTTTGTTTTAATTCCTACCCAAAGTTTGTAGGTATATGGGGTTCATAGATTTTCCTTTTATAGTCACGTTCCTACCTATGGAATTTGGGAAGAATCTGCTCTCATTTTAAAAACCAATATCCTAAGTAACAAGTCTCCAAAGTAATCATCTTTCTCATGGCCTTTGCAGAATAATATCAAAGTTTCACTGCATTTTTACATTAGACATGAAAGCCTTTCTTGGTATTTAAACTGTAGGTCTAAGAAAATATAAAAGTCCAGAGACAGTTTCTCATTAGGATTTGGAAGTGACTTGCACAAGTAATCAAGACTGTATATAAATGCTGCTTTATAAAAAATTTTGAGAACAGAATTTACTGAAATCACAACTCAGAGATCTCAGTCCAATTCTCCAGTGATTAAGAGAGTTCACTAGAGTTTTCAAGGTAGCCAAAAAGAGGCAGGTATCCAAATCAATTCAGGAACTTTGAAACTATATATGAACTCAACTCATGAAAGAGTTCAGGCCTTTTCAATTTGGATTACCAAAAACAGGCAAATAAAAACAAAAGAAAAAATAAAAACTTACTATACATGTTACATAACAAAGTGTTTCACTCTTTTATGTGTAAAGTCTATTCATACCCTTACCCTCTTTTGGAAACTTATGACTAAAAATCAGGGTACAAAACATAATATTTACAATTCTCCAAGTACCCGAAATACCTCTAAAACAAAAAGCAACCTGTGGAAAAACATTTCAATACCTGACAGAATAAATATGGAAAAGCACAGAAATAAATGTTACTACTACCTTACTCCCAAGGGAGCCTTCCGCAATGAAGTTTACAACAAAGTGTCTTGAAATGTTGTTAATCTGTTGGTATACTTGATAAATTATAAAGAAAACATTTCTATTGGATTCTCATTTTAGGTTGAAAAAAAACCTGGTATTCTAAGTATTAACACAAAATTAAACTTTTGCTTTTAAACTAAACTTATAATAAGTATGCTTTTATCAAAAATATATGAACATGGATTTTAAAAAGCCAAACCCTACAGAGAGGTGTTAAATGAAGAGTTAAAGCAAGTTTTTCTAGTTTGTCTTTCCCATCTGTGATATCATAAAAAAAATATTAATATTTGGTCTTTGTCCCATTTTCTGACATAGCTTCTAAAATCCTTGGAATCTCTGGAGTGATGACTGTTTTGTACAATAATCAGATGACTGGTGCCTGGGGGCCCCTAGATAGCTTCAGGATGGGGGCTAGGTAGCCAGGGGAATCAGCCCAGTGATTAAGGGTTATAACTTTGATTCCTACCCCCAGCCGCCACTTCTGGGAAGAAAGAAGCTGAAACTTGAGTCCATAAACCAATGACTAGTGATCTAATCAATCTTGCCTATTTAATGAACTTCCATAGAAGCCCAAAAGGACTGAGTTCTGTGAGCTCTCAGATAGCTGAACACTGAAGCTCCACGCCCCTTCTCCTCTTCTCTCCTTCTTTGTCTCACCTTGTACATCTCCTTCCATCGGGTTAATTCATCTGTGTCCTTTGTAATTGCCTTTATAATAAATGGGTAAATGTAAGTACAGTAGTTCCCCCTTACCCAAGATTTGACTTCCTTTTTTTTTTTTTTTTTTTTTTAGTGATGGAGTCTCGCTCTGTTGCCCAGGCTGGAGTGCAGTGGTGCGATCTTTTGATTAACATAGGTTTTTAACCTCAATATCATTCGGTTTATCAATCTTCATTATGTATTTGCTTTTATATATTTTTAAGGATTTCTTCCTTAATCTAAGATTGGAAAAATAAAATATTCCATATTTTTTTCTAAAAATTTAAAGTTCTGCATTTCATATTTACATATACATCTAGGTAAGAATACACTTAGAAATGACTATTTTTTTTTTTTAAGAGACAGGGTCTTGCTCTGTCACCCAGCCAGGCTGGAGTGCAGTTATGCAATCATAGCTCACTTGCAGCCTTGAACTCCTAGGCCCAAGCGATCTTCTCACCCCAGCCTCCTGAGTAAGATAGGACTACAGGCACCCACCACCAAGTATGGCTATTATTTTAAATATTTATTTTTGCAGAGACAGGGTCTCACTACACTGCTCAACCTAGAAGTGACTGTCTATATATTGACATAAGGTAGACATCTAGTATAATTTATTTCCAAAGGTGTAACAAAATGATCATTAATTCAACAGTCCATATTTACCTCAATGTACTTCAATTCTATCTCTGAAACACATTATTTCTATATATACATTGGTGTCTGTTTCTGGGCTATGTAATTATAAATAAGGCTAAGTACTAATCTATTTGTCTATCCCAATGGTTCTCAACCATGATTTGGCAATATCCAGGGACAGTTTTGGCTGTCACACTGGGGTGTGGGGGTGCAAGGTGCTACTGGCATCTAATGGGCAGGGGATAGTGATGCTGCTAAAAATCTTACAGTGCACAGGAGAGCTCCCATCCGCAAACAAAGAATTATCCTGTCCAAAATGTCAATACTGCCACTGTTGAGAAATCTCTGTCTATTCCTCTGCCAGTGATAATTACTTCGGCTTTGTTTTTTCACTTCAGAGGTTTTCTGAAGTCTTTTTCGGCACCAAAAATAGCTATCTCATTTCTTTCAAGAACTTTATTGCATGGCTAGACCTAATACAATGAACAGATTTGTATCAATACATATTTAGATTAAGTTTGTTGCTTTGTTATTTCCAGTAATGCTTGCCCATAGTCCTTAAGCAAACTATCTCTCTAGGCCAATTCCCTAGAATTGAAATTGTGAGTCAAAAGTTGTACGAGCCAGGCATCCCAGCTACTTGGGAGGCTGAGGCAGGAGAATCGCTTGAACCTGGGAGGTGGAGGTTGCAGTGTGCTGAGATCACGCCACTGCACTCCAGCCTTGGTGACAGAGTGAGACTGTCTCAAAAACAAAACAAAACACTGAGAAGTCAGTTGTAAATGACAGTTGATACTGCCAAATGGTTTTACACTGAAATTAAGAGTCTTCCGGGCCAGGCACGGTGGCTCACGCCTGTAATCCCAGCACTCTGGGAGGACGATGTGGGCAGATCACCTGAGGTCGGGAGTTGGAGAACAGCCTGACCAACATGGAGAAAACCTGTCTCTACTAAAAATAGAAAAAAATTTGCCGGGGGTGGTGGCGCTTGCCTGTAATCATCCTAGCTACTCGGGAGGCTGAGGCCGGAGAATCGCCCGAACCTGGGAGGTGGAAGTTGTGGTGAGCCGAGATCACGCCATTGCACTCCGGCCTGGGCAACAAGAGCAAACTCCGTCTCAAAAAAAAAAAAAAGTCTTCCAAAATTGTATAAATTTACCTATTTCAAAAAGGTAAATACCTTTGCAAAACTAATAAAACTTTGAACTCTTCACCAATCTGATAAATTTTTTTTGACTTTTTTTTTTTTTTTGAGACAGTCTCGCTCTATCGCCCAGGCTGGAGTGCAGTGGCGCGATCTTGGCTCACTGCAACCTCCACCTCCCCGATTCGAGAGATTCTCGTGCCTCAGCCTCCACAGTAGCTGGGACTATGGGCAGGAGTCACTGCACCCGGCTAATTTTTTGGTAGACACGGGTTGTGCCATTTGGCCAAGCTGGTGTCAAACTCCTGGCCTCAAGCAATCTGCCTGCCTCAGCCTCCCAAAGTGCTGGGATTATAGGCGTGAGCCACCGTAAGCGGTCTTGACAGTATTTAATTATAAACAAGGCTAGGTACTTTTTTTTTTCCCCCATAAAATCAAGCTACTGCAGGAAGGGCTAAATACTTTTTCTCTTGCTTATTGAACATCTGCATTTTGTTTATTGTGAATTGCTTGTCTTAGGCATTTTCCTAAGGGAGTATAAGTTTTTTCTTGTTTTGTTTTGTTTTTTTTTTTAGACAGAGTCTCACTCTATCCCCAGGCTGGAGTGCAGTGGAGCGATCTCGGCTCACTGCAACCTGCAACTCCCTGGTTCAAGCGATTCTCCTGCCTCAGCTTCCCTGGCAGGGTAAAACTCTTACTGGAACGTGAATCACTTATGATAGAAGTATTTTATCTCAGTTTGTCATTTAAGGATTCTTTTTTAAGCTTTGCCATAAAAAAGCTTTTTATTTTTATGTACTGAAATTTTTCAGATTTTTCCTTGGAACTTCTGGGTCTTCTGTTATGTTTAAAGCCTTTTCCCACCTCAATGAATTATCACCATATTAGTAATACTATTAAAACAAACTCCTAGGCTTGCATTTTCTGCCTTGGATTTAAATTTGCTAACTCAGCATTATGCTGCTCTGGGTTGAGTTTCGTTTAGTATTTAACATCCCTTAAAACACAGCTTTATGTTCTTCAATATTCCATATATTGTCATAGAATTTTATTTGGATCTCCAAAATGAGTTGCTTTATTTTCTAACCGGTTGAAATCTCAAATTAGTTTGATATCAAATGAAGGTACAGTTGTAGCACCATTTTGTAGGTAGAGGGGAGTAAATACTTCTACCACCACACATAAAACTGGTAATGCTTTTTACTTAGAGATTTCCATTTTTACACATTAATTTTAAAGAAAAAAGTGAGGTTGACAAGTGGTAAGACTTATACACAGTAGTACTGAGAAGTCTACAACTACAAAAAAACTAACAAGGCAGAACGATTAATTTCAACTATCCATTGGCATATTTACACACAAACCTGTGTCTTTTAGTAACATAATTTTTTAGCACCGAAATCAGTTTTTTTCATTCTTATCATCCTTACAAATGTGAAAAATTAGCATAATTACATGACACAGTAAGAAGAGTCGGATGATAGATTTGAAGAGTATTTCGTATTTCTCAAAGTCTGATCCAGAGATTCCAGGGATCAAAATTTTCAAATAAACAACACCAATATTTTGCCGATGATTTCAAAAGACCAAAATATCTAACAAAATATGGTATTAAATGAAGCATTAAAATAGATTTATTGTCTTTAACACCCTATGAAACAGATAACCTCACTCTCCATCTTTTAAAAGGTAAAAATAAGAAACCAAAGCACTGAGCAGTTGCCTTAAGTCATGTTGTTCTTTGTCAAACACAAACTTCCAAGATTTATTACAAAAGAAACATGCCTAGTACAAGGAAAATATCAGATTGCTTTGTTCAATGTTCTTACACTACAAATTATTTAATTAAAGAAAATACTTCTTTTCCTTGAAGCTGCCTAACCTGAAGCTCAACAGACTACTGCATTAAAGCACCAGGTCCCAAAGGGATTCTCACAGAATCTGCAGTTATCATGCTGTAAGAATATTCAAAGCAGTCACTACACTGTTTCTGGGATGAACATGCAGAATCCTCTCAAACAGAGCCCAGTTTTTAACACAAATTATGGTGGTGGTATACGTTAGCAGTGGCAAGTAGGAAAGGCTGGAATTAGGTAGCAGGTGGGTTACTGAAGCAGCTTGGGCTGAACATCACGTTTACATCTTTAGTTTTAAGATCTAGCATATGATCATTACTACTGCATTCTGTATCTGGATTGCAGCTGTTAGGGAGGAAAGTAAACCATATTTAATGTCAAAAGATTTTTAAGCTCAGGCTCTGGCAACCACTTAGCGGCAGCCTACCAAGAGCAAAACACTTAACCTCTATGACCCTGTTTCCTGGTTTGTAAAATGACAATACCACCACCCACCTCTGGGGGATGTTTGAAGGTTAGGTTAGATAATACCTACCAGTGAAAATGCTTTGCAAAAGGAAAATACCAGATAAATGTAAAATATGGCTATTTATTGCTAAGAACAAAATTCGGCCTTTATTGCCACTCCTCTTTTGAAGGAATAAAGCAACAGATGGCTTGTAATTCAGAAAGGCTTGGTAAAGACCTCACCATCAGTCTGCCCTCAGCAACACTTCAAAAGCACTAGCCTACTTAAGACCGATCACCAGAATTACCTCATCAACAAAATTTGCCAAGTTACAATTACTTAAAAAATTATTTTACGCATAAATGCATCTCCCTCTGATGATGTAAGTGAAGATGGAAAGGAAGAAATGAAATATAAGATACTTTTAACACTCCATCCATACGAAACAAAGACAATGATTTTCAGAAGTCTCTTTGGCAAATGTCTCATCACTTTTTACAGTCACTTTCAATACCTTCTCGTTTATTCATGGAAAATTTTAGGACTCGATTTAAGCATCGCCGCTTTCATGAGAATTTTTGGTAATGGTTTCAAGGTCTGACATTCAAAACCCTGTCTCCTTCGCTTGGATGTCATTTACTGCAGACACTTCACGATCCTGTGGACCCTCGGGTGCAGCAGAAGTGACAACATACAAGTACTCGGCATTTGGTAATAAAGGGAAACTGAGGCCCACGCCTTGGCAGAAGTCCAAGGTCACACACGACGAGACTGGGATAGCAGAGTTGTTTTTCGAAGGCTGTCGCATAGGACGCGGTAAGCCAGTACTCATTTCCCAAGGCAAACGGGCAAAGAGCTGCATGCTCACACATCCTTACTTTCTCCCCACCTCACTCAGGTACAACACTGAATCCTCGCTAGGGGGACTGCTCCGCTGTCAACTCAGACAAGTATCATCTCCTTCCCCCTCCCAACCCGTAAAGACGACCCTTTGAGGGATGAAACTGTAGTTCCCAAAGACACATACTCGACCCATGGCCTCTGCGCGCCTGCCCGCTCCCCGGGGAACGTCTCGGCCCGCATAGCCGTCCCGGGACGTACGGTACCCTGTTCCCTTACCAAAGAGCCGGAGGAAGATCTGGAGCACGATGCAGAACCGGCTTTGGCTGGAATCCGGGTAGGAGTTGAAGATGGCGTCGATGATGTAAAGGCAGGGCACCCGGAGCGCCACTTCGAGCGCCGCCCAGACCTGCTGATGGGCCATCCGCACCTGCTGCTGCGGGGGCCCCACGGCCGCCATGAGCCGCTGCCACACCAGGGCTCGGTGGGCCGGGCAGGGCCGCGCGGGGCAGGGCCCGGGGCCGCGGCCGGGGGCGGGGGCTAAGGCGGGCAACTCCGCCCCTGCCCTCCTTCCTCTCCTGTCTCTCTCACGGCCAGCCCCGCCGCCCGCTCGCGTCCCTCGAGGTGGAGCAGGCGGCGGAGGCAGCGATGGCCGAGAGGGCGGCGGCGGCGGCTCCCCAGGAGGTCTCTGGGTTTCGGTGTTTCCGGCTGGCTAAGGTCTGACTCCTCCTCCCTCCACTGCCTCCCCCGCCCGCGGAGCCACCATCTTGACCTCGCCCGCTGGCCTCTGCCGTTGCTGCTGTGGCTAGGCCCGGAGGCTGCGCCGTCAGTCAAGCGAACCGCAGAGTCCGCGCCCACTGCCTGCGTCATAATCCAGCGTCATAATCCAGCGCTAGAGACGCTCCCCATGTCGTCATCACCCATGGTTGCCATGGTTTCCGCCCACCTCCTCAGCTTACTCTAGCTTCGTGCCACCCCGTGGCGCATGCGCTTTTCGGTAGCCGCGCTTTCCGGCGTTGGAGTTGCAGCTTCACCCTCGCAGATTCGGCTTAGCGAGCGAGTCGGTGCTTCCGCGGATCAAAATTATTAGCCGTTTTATTAGAGCCCATTAAACGTTGCATAAACATGGTTCAGAGCTGCCTGGGAGAAGAAAAGCCAAAGGATGCCACCCTCTCGATTTATCCCACCCTCGGGAGTCTGAAAGCCGACGCCAGGAGAAATCCCGCGAAGGCCGCCCGGGATCCTGGTAGAGGCGACGCTGTGTGCGTTTATGGAGCGCTTGCGGTGCGTGGCACTAGGCTGGGTGTGGTGGGTGCTGCCGAAAAAAGGGTTCCTCCCATCCATTTGCACGTCACCCTTCCCACCTCCTGCCCAGATGGACAGAAGTGAGGACATTCATCGGCCGCATTTTACTAATGGCAAGGAGATAGCGACTGAAGGGCAAGAACCTAGGGTTTCCTGTCTTTGATATTTCTCATCTTTGAGGTAAGTACACCTGGACAGTCCCTTCCTTCCTCCTCAGGGCTCATGCTTTCTTGCCTATCCGTGTAATTAATATGATCTGGCTATCTTTGTCTTTGTTCCGAAACTTCAGCTGCAAATGAAAGTGTAAGTTAGGTCTGAGTCTGCACTATAGACCTAGCTATCCTAGGTTAAAGGGGATAAAATAGGAATCAAGAAGCCTGGCCCGCTTGGGCTCCCAGCTCAAGTGCATTCTGCAATCCAGTTTATATTAGGCCTCCATGTGGGTGGCTATCCTTTATCAAGATCCCCCCCAGGGGGAGGAGGATTATTAGTCACATTATCAAACTCCCCTCCAACCCCTTTCTCTGCTTAGAGGTATGTGTAATGTGTAGTAGAAAGACCGAATCCCCACCCAAAAGTCCTTACTGCTACTCATGTTTTTAACCTTCTGTTCTTTACCCTACTCCCTAATAATGACCGCCATCATTTATCTACTGCTTAATGGATACTAGGCACTGTGCTAAGGGTTTTATGTTTTACTTCAATCTTTTCATCGGCTTTATTTTGATAGTTTGTTTTATAGAGGAGGAAACAGACTTAGGTAAGTTACAAGATGACAAGGTTACTACCTTGTTCAGTTAGTAGTCAGCAGCTAGTATATCCAAAGATAGTACGAGTCAGAACTAGGATTATAAACTCAGGGCTACCTGAAACTCACAACTTCAGGCATCTTTGATTTCTTCTTTTCACCCACAGCCAATTCTTCAACTAAATTGTATCCATTCTGTTTTCACCGTCTCTTGTACTGGTCTCCTTTCTATTGTAACTGTCATCATCCTAACTCAAGATCCTTCTGTAGCTTTCCCCGGTTATTGGAATATCCTTATTACGACTGCCACCTTTTCTAATCCAGTCTGTTTACTACTGCCGGGTTAATTTCCCCAAACTGCATGTCTGGGGAATAACCTTGTGGTTATGACAGAATTCCCAAAGGAAAGCAAACTTGGCAAGGTGCAAAGACTATGAAGACTTAGAACTTAAGAGTTCTATGGAGATCTTCAGAAATATAAATTAGCTACTCAACATATCTGTTATTCTGCCCTGATTGCACTGTAAAGCAAAAGGAGAGAGGCCATTATGGGGAAAAAGATCCAAAAGGACTCATCTAAAACACAAGTTGGGTAGAGGAGATAGGTGAGTACTATTATATTATGTTCATGGAAAATGAGTTCATGGGCTTTCCTCTAATTTTTATTTTAAAAATAAATGTAAATATTAAATAAAATTTTTTAAATGAACAAATGCTTCAGTCTTTATTAATGTTTTAACTGTCCCTGATCTTAATTTGATGTACAAATTTTATTAGTGTAAGAGTTTCTTTGACTAAATTCCATCTTGGGCCGAGAACTTTCAGGAGCGGTGGCAGTCTTTTTTTTTTTTCACACAGCTTCTCCAAGCAGGCTCTCTGCCAAACTTGTCCAACCCACCTTATTTTGTTACTGTTGTTGTTCTGTTTTGTTTTAGGCTGTTAACAGCCTGAAGCCATGGTTTTTAGTTTCTGTTTCTAGTGATAAGCGGAAAAGAGAGATGAGGAGGTATTTACTGACCCAACCAGAAGCGGAAACTAAGAACCCATGACTGTATTATCTCCCTTGGACACCCCTGTGTGAGCTCTCTTTCTCCATCTATAAAATGAAGGTTTGAATGAGGTCCTGGCAACTGTGTTAAAATACTACGTTAAAATTAAATTTATAGTAATGAGGTAATTTATAGGATGCTTAGGAATTTTTAAGATAAAAGATGTTTCCAGCTGGGTGTGGTGGCTTATGCCTGAAATCCCGGCACTTTGGGAGGCCAAGGAGGGTGGATTGCTTGAGCCAGAAGTTCAAGACGAGCCTGTCCAACAAGGCAAAACTATATCTTTACAAAAAAATTGTAAAAATAGCTGGATGTGGGCTGGGCGCGGTGGCTCACACCTGTAATTCCAGCACTTTGAGAGGCCGAGGCGGGCGGATCACAAGGTCAGGAGTTCGAGATCAGCCTGGCCGACATGGTAAAACCCCCATGTCTATTAAATATACAAAAATTAGCCGGGTGTGATGGTGGGCACCTGTAATCCCAACTACTTGGGAGGCTGAGGCAGGAGAATTGCTTAAACCCGAGAGGCGGAGGTTGCAGTGAGCCAGGATGGCGCCACTGCACTGCAGCCTGGGTGACAGAGTGAGACTCTGTCTTGGGGGAAAAAAAAATAGCTGGGCATGGTGGCATAGGCCTGTGGTACCAGCTGCTCAGGAGGCTGAGGTGGGAGGATCACTTGAGCCTGCCTTGAGCCTGGGTAGCAGAGGTTGCAGTGAGCCAAGATCACGCCACTGTACTCTAGCCTGGGTGACAGAGTGAGACCCTGTCTCAAAAAAAAGGTAATGTTTCCAAGAAATAGCTACAATTCACTGAATCTAATCTTTGCTTGATTTCTGCATTGATTTGAATGTTGCACAACTCAGGTGTACATTTATATTGAGTCTGCACAGTGTGGTTCATGAGTGTGTGTGTGTGTGTGTGTGAATACACACACACACAAACTGTATACATAGAATACTCGTGTTTGAAAATAACAATCTGTTATAAATCCTTCAGATTTAACAGCTCAGAAAGCCTTTTAGTAGCTTTCAAAACTTTTACAGGTAGGATGTGTAAAAACTAGTTTGAATTTTCTCTTGACATTTGCATTAATGAAGTCTTTGTTTCCTACAACAGAAACTGATTCTTCTGGGTTATCTTAAGCAAAAAGGGAATTTATTAAGGGGTTATTTTCATTATTCCTCAAGATTTCAAGTCCCAGGAGAGACCACCTATATTAGGCCATTCTTGCATTGCTATAAGTACCTGAGGCTGAGTAATTTATAAGAAAAGAAGTTTAATTGGCTCACGGTTCTACAGGCTGTACAGGAAACCTAGTGCCTGCATCTGCTTCTGGGGAGGCCTCAGGAAGCTTTTGCTCATGGTGGAAGGTGAAGTAGGATCAGGCACTTCACATGGCAAAAACAGGAGCGAGGGGGTGGGGATAGGTGTCACACACTTTTAAACAATCAGATCTCATGAGAACTCACTATGGTGAGGACAACACCAAGCCATCAGGGATCAGTCCCCATGACCCAAACACCACCAGGCCCTACCTCTAACTGGGAATTACATCTCAACATGAGATTTGCAGGGGAGATCCAAATTACATCACCATCCAATTGGTCAAGCTTATTGGATCATGTATCTGCACCCTAGCTTCTGTAGTGGGAGGAGGCAGTAGGAAACATGCACTTGGATTT
Source organism: Homo sapiens (assembly GCF_000001405.40). Lineage (NCBI taxonomy): Eukaryota > Metazoa > Chordata > Mammalia > Primates > Hominidae > Homo > Homo sapiens. The sequence continues at coordinate 5,374 of NW_025791784.1, read as the reverse complement.
AACCCCTTCACTCCCCACTTCTACTAATATGTATTTTCTTCAAGTGGAAGATAGGGATACTGGTAGGAAGGGTAGTGTCCTAGTCTGTATTCTGTGGTTTATAACAGAATGCCTGAAACTGGGTAATTTATAAAGAAAAGGAATTCATTTCTGGCAGTTAGGGAGGAGGCTGAGAATTTCAAGGTGGAGGGACCACATCTGGGGAGAATCTTGTTGCTGGTGGGGACTGCAGGGATCAGGGGGGCTGAGCATGCCCACTCAGGCCTTTCTTCCTCTTTTTATGAAGCCACCAGTCCCAGGCCAGGCACGGTGGCTCACGCCTGTAATCCCAGCACTTTGGGAGGCCGAGGTGGGTGGATCACCTAAGGTCAGGAGTTTGAGACAAGCCTGGCCAACGTGGTGAAACCCCATCTCTACTAAAAATACAAAAAATTAGCCTGGCGTGGTGGGAGGCTGAGGCAGGAGAATCGCTTGAACCAGGGAGGCAGAGGTTGCAGTAAGCCGAGATCACACCACTGCACTCCAGCCTGGGCAACAGAGCAAGAGTCTGTCTCAAAAAAAAAAAAAAAAAAAAAAAGCCACCAATCCCACTCTTATAGTAACCCATTAATCTATCAACCCATTAGTCCATGAATGGATCACCAGCCCTCATGACCCAATCACTTCTTAAAGGCCCCACCTTTCAGTACTGCCATATTGGGGATTAAGTTTCCAATGCATGCAATTTGGGGGACACATTCCAACCAAAGCAAGTAGGATTGATGGTGAAAATATATGCCATAACTTTTTCTCAGACCCTGGGAATTACTGCAATTGATCTCTTATCCTAAATTACTTTATGGTTTTTCTCTTCTCATTAAAGTAAATTCAGATGTGCCCATCAAAATTCTATTTGAATTTTCTGGTTTTGTAGATGCCAAATAAATAGTAAGAGTTTGTTTTTGCTACTTCTACACTGCTGTGTATGTAGAAGTGGGAATGTAAACTAGTACAACCACTATGGAAAACAGTGTGGAGACTCCTTAAAGAACTAAAACTAGAATTACCATTTGATCCAGGATTCCCACTACTGGGTTATCTACCCAGAGGAAAAGAAGTCATTACATGAAAAAGATACTTGGACATGCATGTTTATAGCAGCACACTTCGTAATTGCAAAAATGTGGAACCAACCCAAATGCCTATCAATCAATGAGTGGATAAAGAAACTGTGGTATAAATATATGACAGAATACTACTCAGCCATAAAAAGGAATGAATTAATGGCATTCGCAGCGACCTGAATGAGATAGGAGACTATTATTCTAGGTGAAGTAACTCAGGAATGGAAAACCAAATATCATATGTTCTCATAAGTGGGAGCTAAGCTATGAAAATGCAAAGGCATAAGAATGACATGATAGAATTTGGGGACTCGGGGAAAGGGTGGGAAGAGGGTAAGGGATAAAAGACTACAAATTGGGTTCAGTGTATACTGCTTGGGTGATGGGTAGACCAAAATCTCACAAATCACCACTAAAGAACTTACCTGTGAAACCAAATACTACCTGTTCCCCAAAAACCTATGGAAATAAAAAATATTTTAAGTTTGTTGCATAAGTTAAAGGAAACAACAGAGAATATAGTGGTATTTGAAGTAAATGTTGAGTATATACTGACTGTGGTTTGTTCATTCAGCAGACATTTACTGAATACTTTCTATGTGCTTGGCAGTATGCTAGCCCTCTTCTGCCTCTTTCTAGTTCTGTGTCTTGAGGCAAAGTATTTAAGCTGTCTAATCTTTAGTATCATTTGGGGAAAAGAATATTGCCACATAAGATATGAAATACATGACATGCACTATCCAATTTAGCCCTCACCAAACTTGTCCAAGGACACAGAACTAATCAGTCAATAGTAGTGGCAGAGCCAGGTTTCTGATTCATATTTTTCTGATTCCAGAGCCTAAGATCTGATCCTCTGCAAGTATGTTCTCTTGCTTTTTTACAAGAATTAAAGCAATACATCTTAAATACCTAGTATAGCATGTAGTAAACCAATTGTAGGAGATACACTCATTGGAACCCCTGTTACTACACACAGCACTTTGCAGTGCACAGCACTTTGCAGTGACTCCATTTATGACTCAGGAGTGCTGTGAAGATATTAGTTCGAATTATTGTATGAAATAAGTAGGACTTAATTTACATTAGAATATGAGTGAATGATAAAATATGTTCATCTTCGGTGACGGTCAAGCATAATCTGAGGACTGAGATACTGCTGAGAGGAAGAATACAGGTAATACTTAAGTTGAAAACATCTGTCAAAGCAGAGAGCCCAGAGAAGATGGCTATAGTATCCCACTGATGGGAAGTATAGGACCTTTCACCTTAGGTGGGATCCTGTAATCCGGGTTTCTGATAATTGCTTCTCATTTCACAGTTACACCCAACTGGATATAATAAAACTTCAAGATGGAAGATTCAGTATTGTAAAGATGTTGACCTATATATTCTATGTAATCTCAATTAAAAAAAAATCTCAGCAGGTTCTTTTTTCCAAAAATCAAAAAGCCAATTTTAAAATTCCTAAGAAACTGGAAAAGGTCAAGAATACCTAAGGCAGTCTTAAAAAACAAAGTTGAAGGATTTATACTGTGAGACATCAGGACCTATTCTAAGCTATAGTAATGAAGACGAGATAGTATTGGTGCATGGATAGAAAAACTGACCCATGGAACAGAACAGAACAGAAAGTCTAGAAAAACTCCACACATATAGGGTCACTTGATTCATTAGAAAAGTGACACTAGAGTGCAGTGGGAAACATGATAAGCCAACAATATAATAGGACTCTGGATACTGCTTAACAAAGGACAGCATATCACTTAATGGTGAAACATGCTGGAAGCATTCTCCCTAAAGTTAAGAGTAAGAAGGTTGCTCACTGTCACCATTACTATTTATCATTGTATTAAGAGGTGGGGGCTGGGAATAAGGCAAGTTAAAATGCTTCCCTGTTTACCAAGATTTAGCTGTTTTTCTCAAATAGAGGCACCTCAGATTATTTCAAGCTTTTAGTTACTTTCTAGAGTTCTGAAAAAGTTGACTGACCATTTTTGCCTGTGTTCTCATTGCTTTTATAGAGAAGCCAGTATTTGGAGATGTTTACCCTGCTGTTTTGGAAGTTGTCCACTTTACTTGATATTGGGACATATCAAGAGACCACTATATGGTCTTGAGTGTAAACTACAGGTATATTCCTTCCTGCCATCATCGTGTAGCAATAACGCTATTTCCTCCTGATGATTGGATTCATTTACCCCAACTAACATGGTGACTCTTCCTTGCCTGCTGGTCTCCTAGCACAAGGACCTTGAACCGGGAAACCTCAGCAAGTTAAAGTTTAAAGGATCTATTATTGTGTCTCTTGATGAAAAGGTTCCTCTCTTGGGAATCAGGACTTCTAATTCACAAAGTTGCGGGGATGAGAAGTCCAAACTCCCCACTTGGGTCACTGGGAGTGAGAGTATGTGGTTATATTAATTTCCTATCACTGCTATGACACTACGAACTTAGTGGTTTCAAACAACACAAATTTATTTTCTTACAGTTCTGGAAGCCTAAAATCAAGATATCAACTGGACTGTTTTTCCTGAAGTCTTCAAGAAAAAGTCTGTTTCCTTGCCTTTTTCAATTTCTAGAGGCTACCTACATTTCTTGGCTCATGGCCCCTTACTCATATCACCCCATCCTCCTGCTTAAGTCATTGCATCTACTAGGCAAATCTGCCTCTCTCTTGTAAGAATCTTTATGATTATATTGGGCCTATTGGATAGTCCAGGATAATCTCTGTATCTTGAGATCATTAACTTAGTCATATCCACAAAGTCTCTTTTATCTTGAAGGTAAAATATTCATAGAATCCAGGATTAGGATCTGAACATATTTGGGGGCCATTATTCAGCCTACTACACAGTAGGAATTCTATTTATATCCTTTCATTCCCAAACATGCATGTTATGTATATATGAGACACAGCACCATAAAATGAGTGTTGATTTAGAGTATATACTGTACCCTGGTGGACAAGGTCATTCCATTTTCACAGGCTATTATCTTCAAGCTTTTGCTTCAGTTTCACCTTCAAAAGGGTTTTTCATCATTCCATCAGACCCGCATTTTCTCGGTTATATAGTATGTGATAGGACTAGTGGATCTCATGGTTATGTACCTGCTGATACACCTCCTTTGCTGTAAAGTGCATCCCTAAATCAAAGGCAATATTACACAGGATACATGTTGATGGATCAAATACCTGTAAACCTGTGAGTAGTAGAGCTGGCCAACAACTTATAGGCAAGGAAGTCAAACTCATACATGCAGATGGGCAGTTTCTAGTCAAGGAGAATCACTGCCCATTCTAGGATGGAAGGAATCCAACATAAATCAATTTGCTGCCCAAGTAGCTGTTTGGTATCCTTGAGGGTTGGTGCTGTATCAGGAACTTGGTGTTTAACACTGGGGAGTGGCTATTTTGTTGTTGTTGTTGTTGTTGTTTTGTTTTGTTTGAGACGGAGTTTCACTGGTTGCCCAGGCTGGAGTGCCGTGGCGCCATCTCGGCTCACTGCAACCTCTGCCTCCTGGGTTCAAGGGATTCTCCTGCCTCAGCCTCGTGAGTAGCTGGGATTACAGGCATGCGCCACCACGGCCAGCTAATTTTGTATTTTTAGTAGAGACGGGGTTTCTCCATGTTGGTCAGGCTGGTCTCAAACTCCAGACCTCAGGTGATCCGCCCACCTCAGCCTCCCAAAGTGCTGGGATTACAGACAGGAGCCACCGCGCCCAGCCTGGGGAGTGGCTATTGGATAAGTGGAGGCTATCTATTGGCTTCTTGCTCACTTGCATTCCTGCAAGATGACTACTTTGTCATAAGCCCCCTGTGCCATTCCTGGGGGCGGAGGGAGGGGGCGGTGGAGCCGATGGTTGTAGCTGCTGAAGTTTACTGGCTAAATCTGTCTACTTGGTTATTTAATGCTGCTTACATGTTGGATTGTCTCTGGCAGATAAAGATTGTGTTATACAATACAAAAAGCCCTCCTTATGTGCCATATCTGATATATTTCTCCTCTGCTTCTCCAGACTTCTTGTCCCTGATATACCAGTCTTATTCCAGACCCCTGATCAACTAGCCAACTTATTTGCCATGAAAATATGTTCTTAGTTCAAGACACTTTCTTTCCACACACAGTTGATGACCAGGAATACTGCCCCACATTATGCCTTTTGGGAGGGTTCTCCTTACTGCTGTCTTTTAAGGCCAGTCCTGTGTGGGGCTGTAGGGCAGTAGCAGTCCATTTTTGTTTTGAACCTATATTCCAAGAAACCTCAGT